>NC_000001.11:204851253-205002768 GCF_000001405.40 Homo sapiens | reverse complement strand
CAGGCCAGGTCCCCTCTCACCTGTACTGGTCATAAAGGTGATGACGGTACTGCTGATGCCCTCGTTGTCCCGGGAATAAACCCGCAACGTGTATGTCATCCCGGGATAGAGGTCTGTCAGCTGTATAGGCTGAGCCTGGGCCTTAACTGGGACAGTTTTTTTCGTATGGTTGCCTGGGGAACAGAAACCTCAATCAGCCTAGAGCCAGGCACCAGGAGCTGGAGAGCCAGTGCTTAGGTCCTGGTCACCTGTCAAAGGTAGAAAGTGTGGGGGAAGGGACCAGGGAACCGCGGGTCCAGTCCACCATACAGACCAGGAGGTTTCCAGGCAGCTTCCCTATGCCTGTCTGTGCAATACTAACGCTTTTAAACGACCCTTCAGCTGGGGACACCGTTCCCTCTCCTGAAGTTCGCTTTCCTCACCACAGTCTTCACACTAGACATATTATAACCTACTTCCTTAAACTCTCAGCTTGTCAGCAGATGCTCTGTTGCCCTGGAAGCGATTAACTTTTCACATGGATCTGGCTGGTGAGGGCCAAAAGCCAGTTAGCATCCCTCCTGAAAACCAGAGATGAGCTGGGACTCTGTCTCTTGGCTCTCATTCCTAGTTTCACCTCTCATTTCTCACCATGTGGTGAATTCCCACATCAGAAAAAGTGTGTGCCTGTGCATGTAGGCTGTAGGGTGAATAGGGGTAGTAGGAGCCTGAAAAAGTATGGACCAAACTATGGAGTCCAGGTGCTGTGGATGTGAACTCCTCCTCCAACCAGAGAGAACTAAGTCAGCTTTGCTCTCTCCTGAGAGGGTCTTTGGGTAGGCTATCCCAGGTGGATTTGCTGGCTGGGTTAGTTGGCTTAATTGCTTAGAGCACATACTGAAGATGCCAGGATGGTGGGTTTGACCCTGTAGGAACAGGGTCCTTCACTCAGGGGCCACACTCTGCAGTCCAACGAATCTGTACCCTTGGTCCCAAGCTCCAGCAAAGGGTGAGCAACTCAGCTCAAGCCACCAGCTGGGACAAATGGCTCTGGTCTGTGGCTCTGACTGGGGGCCGCTGGCATTCCTCTGGGAGCAAAGCAGGGTTATAGTCCAAGTCTGTGAACTGGCTCACCCAGTCAAGTGGAGCCTGAGTTAAGGAGATCAATGCAGAGGACAGATTTGGCTCATTTGGGGGCTATTCAGAACCCTCATCCTGGGCAGGAAATGAATGAAGGGCCCCTTTACCCAGGTCCTCCACAGACATGCAATCCTAGACTTCCACTAATGGCTTGAGAAGCCCCCTTCCTTTTCCTTGAGCCTGTTCCTCCCACCTCACTGCCGCCTGAGTGCATATCGATTTCATTAAGCCATAATTAAGCCAGGCTAAAAGGCCTCTCTGAGCCTGGGGGAGTTCACAGGAGCTCTTTAATGGCATCTACCACTACCCGCCGCTGCTGCCGACGCCGCTGCCGCCACCACCACCCCGCACAGCAATGCTTACTGTCGATGTACTCAACCACAAAGTCAGTTCCGGGCCCGAAATTGTGCTTCCAGGTGATGTTGGCCCATTTACTGTTGGGGAGCACCGTGACGTTCCATATGGACTGCTCATCAGGGGCTGGTGGACGGGTTAGAAAAGGGGTTAGTGATGAGGAGGGAGTGGCACCAGAGATATGGAGACACACACATACACACAAGCGTGTGCATGCACGCACATGCCCACACTCGCGCACGCACACATGTACACACAGTCATCTAGGAAAGGGGAGAGTCAGAAATGGCTGTGCACAGGGCCTGACAGAGCTCCAAGCTGCAGCCTTGGTGGCCAGGCCAGAGGTCGCTGTCCAGGGACAAGCAGGTACAGTCGGGAGGACTTCGGAGGGAGAGCTGGAAACTGACTGTGTCCACATAGGTAGCGTTAGGAATGAAAGAGTTTTTTTGTTTTCTGTTTTTTTTTTTTTGAGATGGAGTATTGTTCTGTTGCCCAAGCTGGAGTACAGTGGTGCGATCTCGACTCACTGTAACCTCCACTTCCCAGGTTCAAGCGATTCTCCTGCCTCAGCCTCCCAAGTAGCTGAGATTACAGGCCCCCGCCACCATGCCCGGCAAATTTTTGTAGAAAGAGTGGGTTTTGATCTGTGCCATTTGAGGCTTTAACCTGGACTTATTCCCTTTTCAGATCCCTTGTCATGTCAACAGTGTAAGGAAAGGGGCCAGGAAAAAGGCCGTGTGGCCAGGAGGAGGAGGCCACACAGAGAAGATGTGTGCCAGCCCCTTCCCCTTCAAGCATAGAAGTGCTGCAGGAAGGAGAGGGTTATCTTTAAGAGCCGCGAGTCTTGATGAGATTTGCAGGAAGGATGGACTTTTGAAGCTGGAGGAGAATGGTGATCCAGACAGGTGAGGCTGGTCTAAGGAGCCCCTTGGGTTGTCCTTGGTCAGAGAGAAGCCTGGCTGATAGGTCTAACAGCTTCAGATTGTCTAAAGCCTAGAATCTCAGGGGCCCAAGTAAAGACAATGTGAAGCCTTCCTCTCCCTCACGTGGACTAGGTGCGACCAAGAGAAGATAACTCCTTGACAACCAGCCCTCAGTGGTCCAGACACCAGAAGAATCCTGTTCTGTTGGCGTCTCAGCACCACCGAGTTTTTGATGCCTGATCTCTATGCAACACAGAGGACATTAATTATCAAGTTCCTATGAGCTGGGAGCCACTTTATCAAAGCCATGGTGCTGTCTGAAACCATAGCCTGTGTAGAGGAGAATGGCACTAATCTTCAAACGTAATCATTTTGCAAGAGTCCCAGCAGTCTGGTTACCCCATTTTCCAGCAAAGATTTAATAGTGGAGTACTTGCATGAAGCCTCGTATTTCAAAGACTTTACAAGTGTGGCTGCTGTATATTTTATTAGCATGCAAGGGGGCACTGTCACCAACTCACTTGTCAAAAATAAATGAATAGAGTGCATTGGCGATGCATTTATTCATTATCTATTTGACATGTGACTGAGCCTGCAGGGCTGGGGAAGTGATAAAAGATCTCCTGGTTTTCACTTCAAAGAGGTGCCTTCTGCACTACAACTCTGTCAGGCGTTGGTTGCCCCAGGTGAATATGATTCATATTAAGTGAGGGACCAAGAAAGTGATTCCATTGATGGCACCGTGGGGAGGGGAGAAGGTAGGCTTCTTTGCCTGTCTGCCAGACGCTTCAATTGTACTGGCCACTTGAAGCCATCCCAAATTCCAGCTCCTTAGAATTTCATGGCTCTTGCTGGTGAGAATGAATTGTGATTAGTCATTATTTGGGGACTTGAGTTTCTTCCTCCTCAGCTCTGAGCCCTGTAAATAGCTAGAGAATTTGTGTTTAAACAGTCTGGCCACCAATATGAAATTGACTCAAATCTGGCTGTTTTAAAGGCAATGAAGATTGGGGTTCTTTTAGAAAAGGCCAGGCAGTGGGAAGCCAAGATGATTTAGAGGTGGGAGCTGGAGGAAGGCATTGCCACAGAGAGATCAGGATGATGACCCGGAAGCACTAAAAAGTTCAAAGAGAAGGACCAAGCATGTGAAATATCAACACCGAGAAACACAAAAAGGGTCAGGGAGGGGAAGCATAGATTGTCTCACTGACTCCTGGAATGTAAGAATTAAGGAATCTCCCTGGAAATCTGAAAAAGACAGGCGAAGGACAAATAAAAAGGCCTATTTCACCCTGAGAAGAGTAAACTTATGAAACATCTTTTTCCAAGATGTAAGGCACGATAAAGGTGAACATTCATTTTTAAAGTCCTAGACAGCCATTCTGCTGAAGTGAGGTGAGGATGGTTGAGGGGTGTTCCCAAGGTCTAGATAAGATCAAGGCCATGGCCAGGTCCTCTGCAGCGTCTCACAGAACTTGAGGAGTGAGACTCTGGAGGGGCTGGTCCTATGTGGCAACAAGGCCTGTGTTTCAGAAGGCAAGTAACTCTTTGCTGGGGAAGCAAGAGCCACTTCCTTTCTTCATTTTTGGTTCATCTTTTCTCTGAACTCAAAGCACTTGTAGGACACAAAGCCCCACTTTTTAATGAAAAAGATGCCTCACCGTGGCCCCAAAGAACATCAATCACCAACCCGCTGGTGGCAGCTTCTAATACCCCAGCAGGTTCCTCCTCAGCCAACTTTTTCCGAAAGTGCCTGTTAAGTTCTAGATGGCACCTGTGAAGCAAACCAGCATTTTCAGGGTCTCAGGAGCTCACAGCAGCTATGCCTCTCGTCTTCCCTGACAGCTCACTTAACTCTATGTCATTGAACTGAAAACAAAATCCTCTCATGTCTATTAAGCCTCCATCCTCATTCAGGAGGCTGAGAAAAGTGGAGCAGGGTGGGAGAAAGGAGGCCTTGGAAGGTAAAGGGACTTGCCCAGGAGACAAAGGTGGTGCCCACTGGGTCCTACAATTCTACAACTGTGGCAGAAGAGTTCTGGGTGCTTCCTGGCTGCCTCACGCTGATTTTATAGCTGGCCTGTGAGCTCAGGAAGCTACAGACCTTCCCCTTGTTGGTAATAAAAGACTGATGCTCAGTGCTTGGAAGTATCGCTGAATTCCCCTGGGGTCTCCCCGAACTGGAAGAACAGAGCTTCCTGGCCTGGCTGCATGATACAGGAACAGTGCATTCTCGTGGCTCAGCGTACCAGCCCTGGGATCGATTCTTACCAGGGGCTCTGAGAATGCCCGTAATTTTCCCTCCATGCCTGCATTTGAGGGCTTGGGGAATGTGAGTTTGGCATTAAGGGCCTCCTTGGCAATACAGTTTCCTGGAAGCTCTGACTTTGTAAAAGAAAAGTCTGTAAGTGTTCCTCGCGGAAGGAGAGGCAAGGAAGGGACAGGGGTTCTGGGAACAGAGCTGCCTGGCACAGCCACTCCCTGCTGCTCAGCCTCTAGGCCGGACGCAGACGTGGCCAGGGCAGGAAACTCCCTCAGGCCAGCTGTACAGTATCTGGTCCTTTTCCCCTCCTCACGCTGTCTTCCTTCTGGAGTGCTCGGCTCTGAGCTGACTGCCTGACATGTAGCTGGAGGCGGTCCTAACATCTGGAACCTGGGGGCCCTGCCCAAGGAGCTTGGCCGTCTGTTAAGGAACAGGGATCTGAAGCTAGAATTTGGGGTACTGAGTGGTGGAGGACCACCCAAGGAGTGTGTGTGTGTCAGGGCCAGGCTGGGGAGATCTGGGCCTCCAGGCTACGGGACTGAGCATCCAGTCACGGGTGAGTTTCCAAAGGAAACACAAAGGGAGGTGGTGGCAAACACCACCCCAGACCCCACCTCCTCGCTGGGGGAGCCTGTGGGTTCGTCTGGAGGCCGCTGGGGAGGCGGGCCAGGAGGGGATGGGGAGCATGGGCGATGCGCAGTACCGGATTCGTGTATCTTAGTCCCGGAGGTGGTGGTGGGAGGACTCTCCGTGGTGGTGGTGGCGGCAGCAGTGGTTGTAGTAGTTGTGGCGACGGTGGTGGTGGTGGCGATGGTGGTAGGTGCGACAGTTGGGATGATGGGGACTGTTGTGGCTTCGGTGGTGGCAGCAATGGCAGTAGCATCGGTACTGCTCACAGCGCCCGTCGCACCCACGGTAGTCGGGGGCAATGTGGGAGGAGCTGAGAGGGAAATGTAAAACAGCCGAGTCTGGTTGGTTTGGCTGTGCCCAGCCTGGACACACGGCCCCCGCGTGCAAGGCAGGCAGCCCGGTGAGGAGACGGGGCTTAGTCATCAGGAGCCTCCCCAAGCATAACGGACTGGGTCAGACGGGTCGCAGCAACAGAAGACACAACCATGGGAGAGGAAGAGAATGAAGCCCTGTGTGTGTTTCATTTTCTTCTCATGGTCTGCGTGGCTCGAAACACCCAGCATGCACCCAGCCAAGGATGCGTGAGGATGAGACGGGAAGGGGGCACGGGCTGAATCGCTCAGACCCCAGGGATGGCATGGAGCCCCAGGCCAAACACTGGCCAGATGCCACCCAGACACAGGCCCAAGCAGCACCAGTTGGGTCCAGCCCTGGAGCCCCAGCCTAGAGGTGGGCAGGCGGTGGGGCCCTGTCCAGCAGAGGCCTAGAGTGGCCTGCCATTCCCAACCAATCACTCCAAAATCACCCTTTGTCATGCCTGCATGAGCCCAAACAGCCACCCAAACCCGATGACAGAGAGGGAACAATCTCCACTCTGCGCGGGTGAGCCTTGCACGGCGTTCTGCCTGCCCTCGCCCTCCTCCGGTCTTGGCTCTCCTCGGTCATTCCCCTGCCTCTCCTCCCTCTCTTTCCCTTCTCTGCTCAGTGGTAGCCCTTCCTGCAACCACCCTAATCCAAAGTGACACTTCTTATAACTGCCTTTCTCTCTAGGAACTTTGGGTCCAGGTACCCCAGGTGCTTTCTATTCACATGAGAACATGGGAAGAGGGAGCTAATGGAATAACCCGCACTCAGCAGCACCACCTTCCCAGCCCACAGCAGACAGAGGAGTCCCAGGCAGAGTGAGGCGCATGCTGGGCTTCTTTTCTGCATAAATCTTCATGGGGCACAGAATTGTTCAGATCTGGGCTAACCCTCTCATGACACCCATCTCCCACCCAAAGCTATCCTTGGATGTTGGTCAGCTTGGGAGGGCTAAGCTTATGTATGTGACAACTTTTTCACAGGTCTTCTTTCCTGATATAGAAGGTCATGGAAAGGGCTGCCCTATCCTTACCCGCAGATCTAATATTTGCTAAAGCTGAGAGTATGAGAATGAGGCCAAGCAGAGAGAGACAAAGCCCCCTCTCCTCCTTGCACTGGATCTCCTGTGATCTGACAGCACTCCACTTTCTAGTGTTGACGCTAATGGGGCAGTAGGCAGGGACTTTAAAACACAGGCAGCTAACTCTCACTCCCAAGGAATCCTACCCAGCCTCAAATCTCTCAGGAAAATAATATCCCCGAGAAAGGGGCTAGGGCAGGGAGGGATGCCAGAGAAAGAATTGCCAGAGAGCTTTTTTTAAGGGAGAGTGAAGTGATCCTAAGCCTTCTCAGCCAGAGCCTGCCCAGCAAAAGCCCTTTCATTCCCTTGGGTCTCCAAAATTACAAGTCCCTCTTTGGAGAAGGAGGGAATACTCCTGCTTCCCTGCTAATAAGATCAGAGGTACTACTGTGCCCCGAGGGTGCTGGCCACCGAAGTCACACTGGGCAGCTGACTATGCCCCATACGTTCCAGAGGTTCCTGGGCAGGCTCAAAGCTCACAATGCTATACTCCCCAAACCCCGGTCAACCCACAGACATCAGGGCGGCGTGCGGAGGGGTGAGCGGTGGGGCAACTCTCCCTCTCAGATTCTTTATTTAGGGCTGTGCTCAGTCCAGGATGGCCTCAGGCCTGGAATATAATCTCAGCACTAAAAACACTCAACAAGAGGGAATTCACTTATCCCCACCCACCGACACACATACACACACACACACACACACACACACACACACACACACTGTGCACACATCATACATGGGAAAGCCTGAGAGACCCATGGGGCAAAGGTCAGTTCTCTCCCAGGCCTGCTCCCTGCAGCTCTCATGGCCATAGACACACATGGGCTCTTTCCGCTGCTCTGTGCTGCTGGCACAGACCTGGAGCAATTATTTTGTCTACTTGGGCAGGACTGCTCTGATTTTTTTTATTTTAATTGAGACGGGATCTTGCTCTGTCACCCAGGCTGGAGTGTAGTGGTGTGATCATGGCTTACTGTAGCCTCGACCTCCCAGGCTCAAGCAATCCTCCCACCTCAGCCTCCTGAGTAGCTGGGACTATAGGTCCAGCTACAGGTCCACCATGCTTGGCTAATTTGTGTATTTCTTGTAGAGATGGGGTTTTGTCATGGAACCCAGGCTGGTCTTGAACTCCCAGGCTCAAGCAATTCTCTAGCCTCAGCCTCCCAAAGTGTGCACCTGCCGGAGTTCCTTATCAATAGTATATTTTCTAATAATTTCTGACAAATCAAATGCTTACAAGGTAGCCCTTCTCATGACTATCTAAAAGGCATCATTAGAAAACACTCCCTTTGGAGGAGGTTGCAGTGAGCCGAGATCAAGCCACTGCACTCTAGCCTGGGCGACAGAGCGAGACTCTGCCTCAAGTAAACAAAACAAAACAAAAAAGCAAACACTCCCTTTTAACCTGAATCATCACACCGCGTAGTGCAGGAGCCTGGGCCTCCCTTCCTACAGGTGCAGTGGTGCTACATTTCCCAGGCCCCAGAATCCAAGTCAGTCTTCCCCAAAGCTTTACACTCTCTCATGTGGCCCTCAGACTCGCAGAGACACACACACACTCATACCCCAACAGGGCCATAGCTGGGGGCACACACTTCCCAGGATGTTCCAGTGAGTAGCTGGGGGACAGAGGTGTCAAGAGAGCCCAGGTGACAGCATTTTCCTCACCGGCCCTGCTGGGCAGAGGTAAGGATGAGAGATGGCTCTGAAGATGTTTCTACACTGCATTGTCCCCTCCCCTGATGGCCACTTCTGCCAAGTGTGGCAGAAAGGAAGCATTTTTCTCTGATGATGGCTACCTAGCTGCTTCCTGTCTGGCTCAGGCTTAGTAAGAGGGAGCAAGAGATGAGAGAGAGGAAAGGGGTCACTTTCCGGCAGCCTCCCCGGGGCTCCCACCATTGAAGTTACCATAGAGGATACAACCTCAGCTGGCTAAGGTCACTGCTGGCACATCTCCGACCCACTCATTAGCTGTGTCTATTGTCCCAAGGCAAGACAGGGCCTCCAGAGAGCTAGGGAGGGTGGAGGAAAGAAGAAAAGCCTCCGAGGGAAGGTGCAGAAGAGTCAGGCAGTGAGCTGTCAGGGGGCTAGTACAGGTGGGAACGAGAGGAGGACAAGTGTTCCATGGGGAAAACCTTCCACTGCTCAGGTCTAAGGAGATTCAGATTATTTCATCCCCTGGGGCTGAGGTGGAGGAGAGGATAGAAGAGCAACGAAGCTGAGAAGTAGGGCTTACCAACAGAGCAGCACCAGGCTGGGCAGACACATGACTGGGCTAGGATGTCATTTCCTGCCGCAATAGGAGCTACAGGTTTGGAAGCAATCCTGGCCAGTGCTCAGTGGAGACCATCAGCCTGGCGACCAAGGACAGCGGGCAGAGACTCTCTGTTAGCTAAGGGGGGATCCTGAGTGGGCTTCGGCTGGAAGCACAAGGCCCTTCCTAGATGGCAGCGTCAACCTCACAGGTTTGTGACCTAATGCACACTGGAAGGCACCCTGGCTGCGGCCAAGGGTTTTCCAGGTGGGTTTCAGGGAGCACCATGCATGAGATGGAGAACACTGAGGAGAGATGACATGTGTCATTCATCTTTCTGTCCCAGAACCTGCCACGGAACAGGGCACCTATCAAGAGCCCACCAAACATTTGCAGACCTGAGCTGGGTCAAAGAAGAGAACAGCACTTCCTTACATTCCAAGGTGGAAGGTTTAGTCCAAAAATGTCCACATGGCGTGTTGACTACCCCGGCCAAATCACAGATTGTCAGACAGACGGGCAGCAATCCTAAGAGACTACAGATACAGGTGGATGAGAGGGATTATCTTCACTGGGTGAGAGATGAACAGGGCAGTTTGGGGAAATAGTGCCCAGGTTTGGAGAGGACGAGAGGGAAGACAGCAGTGGGCCGGACGCCAGGCCCACGTCAGAAACATGGAACCCGAGTTTCGTTGCTTGGCACCTGCTCATTGTGCAGAAGGTTCTTACGCATTTAAAGCTGAGAACAGCTGATGTTATCAGCACATCTCATTTCCAAAAAAGTGCAATCTGCCTCCACTGCCATGTCACACGGAAGCTGGAGCCCAGGAAACATTTGATTGAGACCGTGAGCTCATGCTGGATGAGTGTAGATCTTTTCTAAATGGGAAGTAGGAAGTGGGGTGATTGCAAAGATACCTCTCACCCACTCAGTAGAGGGACAGCACAGGCCGGCACAGATGCCCACTGAACAAGACAGACTGCCTGCCACCAGGCCCACCTGCCTTGGGTCCCAGGGTGCCAGAACAGGGGAGGTGGACGGGGAGCTGCTTCCCCATTGAGCTTGCAGCTGATTCGCCTGGTGCCCTCCCTGCGTTTCCTCTTCGTCACGGGAGAGACTTACGTAAACTTCAAGCAGGAAGTCAGGGAGGCCCCCAGTGTGGCAAGGATGGCTCTCACCCTGTTCCCCAGGCCTGGGATCACCTCTCTGCCTCACATCTTCACAGGGGTGTTCAGACCTTGTGGGGAGGCACTGGGGTGGTGGGTGAATGTTGAGGACTGAGGGAGAGAGGGAAGGATGATGGCAGCTCACCATCCACAGATCTGGCCGCAAAACATACACAAACTGAAGGAAGCAGGGTATGCAACAGAAATAGAATCAACCTAGGATGGGGGTGGGGATGAATAAGCAAAGGCGAGGAGGAAATCGAATTGGGCAAGGTGGCATCCCCTTCATAAGCCAACCCTCAGATTCCTGGCCCGGTCCTCAGCCCTCCCTCCACTGCCTGGCATGTAAGGAGGCTCTGCTGAGCACTTGCTTGTAGCCTTTGCTCTGCCAGGGTGAATCCTGTTCTCATTTCCCATCTGATGTAATTCAGGCTCAGAGGAGGGCCTGGAAAGGAACCCTGGGGTCCCCTGCCTCGTTTCTCCAGCCTGGGGACAGGCCAACTGTGATGAAGAGCCCTTTGATGACCCTCAAACCCATGACATGAGGACTGGAGAGGAGTAACTTGATTAGCAGGTCCTAAGCCCAGAGCTGCCCAGCACCTTAGTCCACTGTAGATCTACCTCCCATACCCCGAGAGTGGAGACTGTTCTTAACGATAAAGACTTGGAAAAGCTGGGTTTCTGAAGGGTGAGGAGATAATCAGCCCACGGTGCCTGCTGAGACTCCAGGAACTGGAGCACCTGGCCCTATCCATGGACATGCTTGCTTGTTCTCACTGAGCAGAGCCCGTGGTGGCTGGCAGAGCCGGTGCCGGGCCCCCATGCAGCATGCGAAGCTGGCATGCACAGCATGTTCACCCTTTCAGGAGATGGCAGCCCCACCAGGAGCCAGCTGTCCCTGCTCCTGCTGCAGCGCGCCTTCTAGGGCCACAGCTGGGGACACTGCTCTGAGCTGTCAAGCCCAGGCAAGGACTCAGGTGGTTAACGGGAAGTAATCTACTCAGTGTCAGAATGAAACTGCAGCTCCAGAGAGCAGGTCAGGGCCGGTGTGTGTGTGACCCCTGCTGAGCCATTCTCCTACTCAGCAGGGGGCAAATAGTTTGGGAAGGGGGGAAAGTGGGCTTGCTCTCCTCTGGTCCCATCCTCCACACACATCCCTCTTGACAGTCTGGCTTCCCAACCACTGAAAGGGTGAGTCTGGAGCATGCTTTCAGCCTGAGCCTCTCCCTCCTTGTCCGCCCTGGCTGGGCTGGGCTCCGCCTGCGCTGCCCCATGCCATGCCCATTACCTCCGCGGCTGGTACGGTACCTGCGGTTGGAGTAGCTTCAGAACACAGCGCCCAAGATGGCCAGACAGAGGGAGAAAGGATGGAAAAGGGAAGAGAAAACAGAGCACAAGTGAGACCACAGGACAAGGAAAGCAGGGAAGGTTCCAGCCCAAACCTTATGCAGACGGCGTGGCCAGGTGCTGGCTGCTGGCCTGAGGATGCCAACTGGCATTCAGGGTTCACGGTCAACTCCACCTGAGTCAGGCATGTTCCTACAGAAACCTTTCCACCTGGGCCTTGGAGACCTTTCTAACACACTGTTTCTACCTCGATTCAAGGACTGGACATCTAAAAGGTGGCTGCAGGGACAGTCCACTCAGAGCATTATGTTCCCAGCTCTGTCCTCAACAGCATGTCCTGCTCTGGCTAGGTTGGCATGACCTTTGAGCAGGCTGGGTGACGCTCCATGATGCCAGGAATTGAGGGGATAAGGAGTAGGTGGTGTGGGAGGACACCAACTCCAGTCAAAAGGATGGTTCCTGTCTTTGGGGGAAGATGCTGAATAGTGGGATGGATAGGAGAGAGGGAGCATGTTCAGCTGCACCCACTCCACACCATCGCAACCTTGGAAGGCGGGAACTTTGAAGGATGGAGCCTGGAGCCCCTCTCCTGGTATTCCGTCACTCCAATTCTTCCCCTCCAGTTGGACTTTATGAAGTTAGAAACCCAAGTTTGGACTGAGAGCCCTTTCTTTTTTCTTTCTTTTTCTTTTTTTTTTTTTTTTGGACTGAGAGCCCTAAGTGAAATTCTTGAATTTTCTGCAAAGCCCTAAGTTAAGAAAAAAGCCTCTATTTGTCCTTTTGTCCCCTGGGGCTGCAGAACATTCTCTGTGGTGGTTACTGGGGCTGGACAATAGGGCTTTGTTATCTGATGTTCTGTATTGGGGTGCACATAGGGAGGGAAGAAGGGGCTCTCTTTATCTATCTATTTGCAGAATTGAGTAATCAAGAAAGTGCATCATGGCCTGGCCTGGCCTGGCCTTTGGTGACAGACACACATCAGCCACTAACCTAAGTCCCCCTGCCCTAATAAACTTCCCGAGTGCCCAGGGGCTTGGGAGAGTGCAGAAGAGCACAGCAGGAGGGAGAGCTGGTTGTGTGACTCACTCCTGGTTTCTGAGACCAGAGAGGGATGCAGAGCGGGCTGTCAGCCTTTCTCTGCTTCTGCCTGGCCCCTCTTCTCCTGCCTCAGCGCTGGTCTACTGGCTAGAGTGGTGGGCTGGGGAAGGATGTGGGCAGCTTGTGAAGCTGCCTGGGATCCCGGGGTGACGCAGCGGGCCTGGTAGCCCCAGAGAAGGCAGCACTGATGCTCTCCTGGAATGCGGGTAGGGGTGGTATTCAGAAGACCCCGTCTGGGCCTGGGCCAGGCCACGGGACCTGACCCTTCTGTGGAAAGCACCAGACACGATGACTTGTCAGCTTCCAGAGTGCCCACTCACATCACCTCTTCTCTGGAGTCTTCCCGTGAAGACTGAATCCCCTTCTCTGCCCAGCCACTGCGCCCCCTCATTTAGACATGCAATTAGATATTCTTATAGATGACTCCCCCTCTAGATGGTGTGAGCTTCTTGTTACCTTTGTATATCCCTTGTGTGTGGCAGTGTCTGGCACCTCACATTGTGGGTACTCAAGAAATGGCTGTTGAATAGACCATTGTATCTCTGGAGACACACGGGGGTCCCCAGCCTTTCCCAGAGGGTGTGCCAGTATTGAGGCTTTTGCAGCCTTGCCTCCTCGAGAGGTCCCAGACTGCACATTCCCCTGATGCCAGTGCGTGTGCGGGTGAGCCTGGAGCCCCCTCTAGTGGAGTCCTCAGGCAGGTGCAGCTCTGGTGGGGCTGAAATGCTGCCAGATGACGCCTGGACCCAGGTGATGAACTCATTTGCTCTTTGTGAAGCTGGCTTGGCAAATGGCTGTTTCCTAACTCCTCCTCCTCTCTGCAGCCTGACAACGCATCCAATTCAGGCTGCAAGGAAGGACCACATTCTCTGCTCTACTCATGATGCCAGTAACAGCGTCATCCTGACGGTTTCCCCTACCTCCTTGAACCCATGTGCCTTCGAAGAAAGAAGGTTGTCCCCAGAGCCCTCATGGGAGCACTCACAATCATATTCCTGCCTCCCTCAAGAGGTGAACACTCACTGTTCTTTGGAGTTCATTATGATTTCTCTCATTTCTCAACTCATGCTCTCTTCCTTATTCCTCTACAAGAAGGAAAGATGATAGATGTCAAGTGACTGAGCAAGTCAGGGCAAGTGGGGACCCAGGTGTGACCACAGTGGTCCAAGGAGAGCTGAGCTCCAGATACAATGCCAGCACCTACCTCTCACACATAAGATGGGTTCTCACCTTCCGAGGGCTTGAGGACTTGCAAGTCTCATTTCCTCTCCATCCCAGGCAGCCAGCTACAGATCTCAGTGTTTCTCTAGGCCTCGGAATTAGCTGGGACCTTTTACCCCAGGGGCTGCTGCCATGCACCTACCTTCATTCGGGGGTGCTGGTGACTCCTCTGTGACGGCTTCCCCAGAGCCCACCTGCGTCCTGGCGCTGAGGGTAAAGCGGTAGCGTGACACGGGGTCCGTTCTTTGCACCGTGAACTTGGTCTGATTGGGAGAGAAGTTTTCCACTATCTGCTTTCCTACTTTGGTCCCGTTAACTGGGGAGAGAGAGGTAAGTGGAATTAAACTTTAGCAACATTTATTGATGGGTTATATAATCTGCAAGCTGGAGGAAGAACACTTTCCTGACTTTGCTGGAAAGGGAAATGATGGCACCTGCCTGGTGATCTTAAAGGCTTGGTTCAAAGGCAGAACACTCGGCAAGAACTCCCTCCGGGCTCTTTGATTACACCCAGGGTTAATCCTTCTTCACTGATCCTGTTGTCTCTAGCTCACTGCAGAGTTATGTGGCTGATTCAGAAAGATTCCGTTTATATTCTTAAGCCCTTTCAACAAGGACAAAACTCTTCACTTTCTTTCTTCCTTTCAAACAGAACTAGGACAACGCCACTAGGCCTTTTGATTCTTAATGCCTCCTTTGTAAAGTGCCTATTCAATGGACCTCAAAGGGTGAAAGGGTCTGGTCCAGAGATCAATTCAGAACAGCATACAAGCACAGAGTTGGCTATTAAAATTGCTAACAACACAACATTTGGCTCTTTGAGTTTCCTAACGAGGTACGTTACCTACTTTTGAAGGCCTAAAGTGTTTCAAATGTAATGGCACTCCTGTCCCTGCATGGTGATGCTGAGCTCTTGAGGTGGGGTCTTTCCAACCCAGGCTCCTGATTCGGGTCACCCCACAGTCACCGGGCAGCTCTACATGCAGCTGCCTTATCATAAATGACATCTTGTCAAGGGGTGTCCTGACTGTGGACTCCTGTGAGTATACTATCTACCCCATCAGGTGGAAGCTCCAGAGCTTGAGGAACTCTCTCTCCTAGACTCTGTACGTGTTGGAGACTACAAAAGATCCCTAAAGGCATGGCTGTCTGCTTCATTAGACTGGAGGTCCCTTTGTCTCATCAGTGAGACTAGAAGCTCCCTGCAGGCAGAACTATGAAAGGAGAGCAGGGATTGAGTCCCATCTGCCTCCCCTAATCCTATTGGGAACTGTTTCGTTGGCCCCTCCATCCCTCCACAATGCCATCTGCACCCACAGGCTTTCTACCTTGAGTCCTTAGGAAAAGTGGTGAGAATGGGGTTTCTGGTTCCCAGATTATCTAAGAGAAAGGGAAGGGCAGAACGTACAGGCCACATATTTGAGAGTGTATCCAATCATGATCCCATTTGGATGCTCAGGATGATCCCATTCCAGGTTGATTGTCTCCAGGTTGGGCTGCCGGACTCGGAAACGCCTAGGGGCACTGGGTACTTGGGGAAGGAGGAGAGAGCAGGGGAGATGAGGGGGAGGGGGCAGGGAGGATGAGGAAAACACAAAAAACAAAGCACAAGTATGAAGGCATTGACCTCTGGACAACCCCCATGCTCGACACTGCTAAACTGAAGCCTGGGAGAACCGTGAGACGACCGGAGCCCATTGCCCCATCCAGGATGCTATTTCCTTCAGGTCTGAGGACAAACATAGCTCAGACTCTGCTATTTAAGAGAGGAAGAAGTAAATCAGGTTTTCTTCTAGCAACTACTCTGGATTCAGCACATGTTAGGCTCTGATTCTGCAAAGATACCTCGAAATTGGGCAGAGCCATTCCTAGGTAGAGAACCACTTACAGCTGTTTTGTACAGAGGCTGCAGTTCCCTATCCTCAGATAAGGATTCTCATCACTGGGTCCAGGCAGCAGGCCCAGGCTTCTGAGCTGAGAATGTTGGGTTCAGGGGTAAGGAGACAGAAAGCCAGGGTGGAACATCCGGAAGAGGTGGGAGGGTGGGAGTGTTGGGGAGAGGCCAATGATGAAAACCAAACCAAGGGGAGGGAAAGACAGGGATAAAGAGAACAAGAGGGAAGAACAGAGGACAGGAGGAAGAGAAGAGGAAAAATGGGGAAAATAACAATTAAAGAGGGAGGGAGGAGAAACGGAGGAGGATGAAACAGATGCAAAGCAGATAAAAGAAGACTGGCAAGAACAAGGAGATGAACCAGGAACTTTGCAGTCATCTGTTAATTCATGAACTTGAATTTATGTGAAACAAAAAATAGGGGTTTTGACCCCAGGGCCATGTGAAACCATAGGCCTGCAGAAGGCGGGGCTATACTTGGGTATCCCTCTGCAGAGCCACCGCACACACAGGCCGACTATTTCAGTGACGGCTTCTTGAGAACGTGGGGGGAGAACCGTGAAGGTGTTGGGTGCTGGCAAACAAATCAGATGGTTCCAGGCAGTCAGGATGGACGTGCTGCCTTCTGCCTCGGAAGGTGGTGGGGTGGCCCAGGTGCCCGCCGTGCCCTCGGGGATCAGTCTGCATAACCCGTCTGGAATTATGTCAGCAGACCTCACAGGTCTTCTCTTGAGATACAACCTCCTCGCAGGGCAGGTCACCTTGGCGATGGTGGTCTGGGAATGGCTGTAGTGGCTCGGCTTGCAGGTCATCCGCTCCTGGAGGCCTCGCAGAAGTCACCTTGTGCCATCCATGCTGAGCCACGCTGGAGTTTCTCCAGGCCCAAGGTGTGTGCCACCCTTCTCCTGCCCCACCCTGAAGAGCTGCAGGCCAGACCTACCTCCTTCCGGGGTGGTGAACTCCTTGGTCTCACTGCGAGGCCCATCACCTCTCCCATTGACCACAACCATCTCCAGCTTGTAGTTACTGTAGGGGAAGAGGCGGGACACCACGCCACGGAGGCGGTCACCAGGGAAGCTGGCTTGCTGTCTCTTCTGAGACACCCACAGGTTCTTCAGCAAGCTGCTCTCCCTCCAGTAGTAGGCCTTCGGGACAGAGGCAGGCTGGTGAGGGGTCAGGCAGGCAGGGCTGGGTTAGTTGTTAGTGGTGGTGGTAGTGACCGGTCTTTCCTTTGCTTGCTACAGCCTCCAAGTCCCAAATGACCTCATCAGTCCTATCCAGGCTGAGGAAGCAGCCTTTTAATCCCCGCTCATTAGCCACTCCTGAACATGAATTTATATTAAACAAGAAATAAGGGTTTTGGTTCCAATTATTTTCTGATCCATGCCACGTCTTTGGGGAATGAGCAAGTTGGCCAAACTTACATCTGAGCTGCTCCATCATGAGACTGATTTCCAAGGTGGGTACCAGGTTGCTCAGGGAGTCCGTGCCAGAACCAAAAATAGTGAGCCAAGGGTCCAGGCATGGAAAGCTCCACTCTGTGCTCAAAGACCACATCACCTTGAATTGGATTAGTATGGTTTAGATTGACGGCAGGCAGCAGTTGAAAGGTAGCAAGTTACCCCCGGAAGTCTGAATATGAGAAAGGGTTGATTTAATCCTTTGAAGTAAAATGACTTCTTTTCATATTGTTGGAAGATCTTTAGGGATGAGACAGTCACATGTCCAAGTCAGTGGGATGCCAGGCTGCATGGTAGCAGAGCTTGGATGGGAAGGGACAGCTATGGAAGATGGTGGTGTTGGAGGGGGCAGTGGAATGAGTTTGGGCAACAAGAAGTCTCTAATTAGCAGTGGGTAAGAAGCCACAGGTCAGTTGGCCACGCCAGTGTCTCCCAGGCTGCCTGTGGCAAGGTAGGAAGGGGTCCAGACTTAGAGGGGGACCCATGGGGAAGCTTTAGCCAGAAAAATCTCTAAGCAAGTAGGTTAAGGGTGCAAGTCATCTGTGGGGAAGAGCTCATTCAAGTGTACACATCACGTTGCCTTCTTTCCCCTACTGGCCAAATTCATTTCCTGGGAAGAGACTAGCCTCTCTTGCTCTGCCTCCAACTGTCCATCAGCCAACTCCTGATGACCTCTGAGGCCACAGAACGTGCATTAATCACAGTTACTGCCTCCCTCACTTTCCAGCCAACTTTTAATTAGCGCTACTCAGAAGGGAGCGCCGTGTATACCCTGGGTGCTCTCTCTCTTCTTCCCATCTGAGCTCACCCTTTTGAAGAGGATGGATGATAGAGCAGAAACTGCTCTCAGGCAGGGAGGACCAAGAGAAGCCAAGAGCCTTGATAGTCCATATACTGGGTTATCTGGAGTTGGCTGCGACAACAGGGAGGGCATTTGCATGCTTTCAGTGGCTTTGCCTGTTAGTTGTGGCTTAGGAGATAAGGAGCCCAGTAGGGGCCATTGGGAGAGGGGAGGGGAGTAGCTCAGCGGTGCCTCAACACTGCTCTGAAGATACATGTGTGCCCACTCACGCATGTATTCCAAACGCAACGTGCTATGCAACACCAACCCAAACCCACCACCTTTCACGTGATTTTCTGCTGAGCAGAATCTCTCAGCATATCTGTTGGACACATCTGGGTGTATATATATATATATATATATATATATATGCGTATATATATACACACACACACATATATATATATACACACACACACACATATATATATAATTTTTTTTTCTGGGTATATTTTTGAACATCTAACCCTAGACATTATCTTCTTGAGTCAACCCTGGATTCAATAAACAACGCTAGGGTTTCTTTCAAATATCTTATAGCCCGCATTTGCTACCCCTGGCCCTGGTTAGTGAGCTGGGTAGTTAGGTGAGTCCGGAGCTGGCTTCCTCACTCGGTACTCTCTGAGCTGGCCCTGGACCGTGTCGGAGTAGACGCGGTTCCACTGAAGGCTGATGGCTGTGCTGTTCATGACTCGGACTTTAACTTCAGTGGGCGCAGCCCTGGGATCTGCAATGTGTTGGGACAGAGAGCTGGTTATGCAGGCAGGACTCTACAGTTGCTTCTGACTTGTTCTCTGCTGGCCTGTACCTGCACTCCACTCAACACTGGGCATTCCATGAGGGCAGGGGCCATATCTCCTCCATGAGACAGTACTTGAAAAAGTGGTGGGGAAGGCTCAGGACAAAAGGGTGGCAGTCTAGGTGGAAGAGACTCTGCCTACATGTTCAGAGGGCACTCATTTGCCCCCTCCTGTGCTGGGTAGTTTCCATCAGCCCCTTCGTTTTGTCCTCCACCCTTCCTCACCCTGCTCCGTCTCCTGGGGGGCTGCCCTCGCTGGACCTTATCAGCGGGGTTCCCTTGTTCTCAGGCTTCCAGATGGGTTTAACCAATAGCAGGTGCCAACAGGAGGCCCCAGGGCAGGAGAAGAGGAAGGGTGGGTATCAATTCCCCTGGGTTCCTCTTTGCTGGGCTACAGGTTGACAGCCTTGTACTCTTCTACCTAAGGCCATGGCTCCTAAGGGCGGTCCTTGCTTGCTGTGGACTCATCTATCCCCGTCCATGGAGGCTCAGAGTGGCATAATGGCTTCCTGCTGCTGCCAGCCTTTAAGGTGGATCACGTATCTTGCCGTTTTCCCTCCAACTCTCTCCACACGTTATAAATAGTTCCTTTTGAGAATGCATCTGTTTCCTGGCAGGAAACATTACCCACAGGTTGAAGATGCCCTAATCTAGTTCAGGAAGTGATTCTGACCCTGCGACTACCTGGAAAGGGAAGGCCCCTCCCTCCCCCATAACTGATTCTTGTCCCTGTTTTCTCCACTCTGCCGCAAAAGCAGCTCTGCCTCGTCCCTTCTAATCCATCAGAGCGTGGGCCGCAGGGTAGAAGCGTGCAATGGAAACTGTGGGCTGGTCCATAAAATCCATGACCAGATGCCACCCTTTCTGCACTTACCATCCAGTGGTCCCATCGGGCTCCTGTCTGAAGTGCCCACCACCATGGAGGTGAGGAGTGGGATGGACAGAGGACCTGCTGACCCTCTCTGCTCATCTCCCTTGTGAGTCCAATCCATAATCACCTCTGGGAAAGTGGGGCCCAGGGCCCAGCCCTCCCTTCCTCCATCTCACTGTTAGGAATGCCACTGGCCGTACTCTTGACTGCTCCTTCTAAGTTCCCCCACTCAAGACTGTCCCTCCTCCCTTCCTTCTGCCCACTCCATCCACCTACATGATCACTTCTCCGATCAGACCCAGACTCAACAGGGCGCAAAGGCCCTCAACCAGGAGGGGACTCCCCGACACCCCTGCTTTGTTTAGCAGCCTACAGGATTGATGTGCTGGGGACAGAGAGGCCACCACCGTCTGGGAAGCCAGGCATATATGTCCATGTATATGACCAGAATCTTGTTGTTTTACCAGGGGCCAGCCCCCAAAGACCTTCTCTTTCTGTGCTCAGTTCCCAGGGCTGGGAGCCGCAGCGGGAGCACCAGGAGGGGCTGGTCTGGGGTGCTCCTGTCTGGTTGCTGAGGAGGCCTCCTGATCCCTCAAGGCTTCCCCGGGGGAACCTCTGGCCAGCTGCCCTGCTTCCTACAGAAGTGTCTAATTATAGCTCTTTAGGATGGGTAGTCCTGATGTTTTTTCTTGGTACTAGTATGGCTTAGCAGTAAGGCAGACTGCCAGGGGATCGGAAGACCTGGGCTCTGTTCTCAAGACTGACATTGATGACTATGGAACACTGCCGAGGGTTTTCCCTTTTTGGGCCTCAGTTTTCACATCTGTGAAATGAGAATTCTGGACTGGGTGATGACATTCAGTAATTCCAACTACGTTCGGATGATATTTCCACTCCTGACATTACTGGGTGCCTGTCTGCTCTAGGTCACTACAGAACATTTTTCCTTCCTGGGAACTGGCTGTCCTCCCATACCCACCCCAAGGTTCCTGGCCTGTGAGCGTGGCCTCGTGCGACCTAGCCACAAGGGTCCTGATGGGGGGACGGGGAGGAGACTACTCACAATCTTCTCCGGAGTAACCGATGACGGACTCTGGCTCAGGGCCCTTCCCGAAGTCATTTTCAGCCTGGACTCGGATCTCATAGGGCACGTAGACTGGGGTCTGCCCCACCACGTAGCGAGAGCCCCACACTGTGACGTTGTTCCAGGCCTCTCGAGTCTCTCTCCGCCTCCACTTGACAATGTAGCGCAGGTTGGGGCCAAAGGCCGAGGTGGCATTCATGGGCTGGGCAGAGGGACAGACAGGCTGGAGAGGCTGCCAGAGAGGGGCCCAGATCCACCCACAGCTTGCCCTCTCTTGCTGTGCCAGGCATCCCTTCCAGATGTGCCCAACACTGGCCTGCCCCCTTGCAGGGTAGGGAAGACCATATCCCCCACCCCAGTGAGTCCCCCAAAAGCCCAAGGTCCTGTGAACCCAGCAGCATGCAGATTTTCTGTGACACAGGCTTCGCCTGAGACCCAGTTACTCTGACTCTGAGAGCCACCCGCATTTGTAGGTGCAAAGGTTTTATTTTCAACAAAACTCCTTCCTGTGACAGGAGCAACCAATAAAGCAAAATATAGACAAAAGGTAAACTTCTCCAAAGTCAGAAGAAATGAGTTGTGGTTAACCACAGCATGGCTCCTGCTAATGAACTCAAAATTCCAGAATGGACTTTAGTTCTACCGAATTTGTGTGTGTCTGTCCTGTCCTTCCCAAGAGGTCAGAGTTCTTTAAACATGGGTGTGATTCTGCTCTTTATTTTCTAAGGGCCTGGCCCAGGAATCAGTCCTCTTGGAGCCTGCTATACAGAGCCACAGACCAGGGTCCTGAATCTGGGCTCAGCCCAGCTGCCGTTGCCCTGTTTGGCCAAGGCTGCTGTGGGAGCAGCCTTCAGAAAGACAGGGAAGGTCATGATCCCAAACACTGCATCTCCCAGTTTCCATTACTCATGGCAGAAGCTCAGAAATGTTAATATTTCAGTGGCTGCGTTTGCATTCTCAGACTGGGAAGTGGTTTGGGAAAAAAGTCATTTTGAGACCACATACTCCAGTTTTGGTTTGGAAAATGTAGTCAGTGAGCCAGCATGAAGATGGGATTTTCTAAGACCAGAGGGAGTCTTTGGAATGACCTAGTCCATTCTTGGACCAAAAGAAAGCCTGTACTGGACACATCTCAGATGTTGGTCTCTCCCCAGCTCCCACAAATCTCCAGTGAAAGGGCCCTAGGACACACCAGAACTTGGTTTGGTGTTGTGCTTAGATCTTTTCTAAAGTCTAACCCCAGTCCCTCCTCCTTCAAGAGAAGTCTGCTTGATTTTGCTGCATCCTCTATGCGTTTTGCTAGACTGGCAGTCGGTGGACCCTGGTCCCCTCTGCTCCTGTCTCCTCTCTGAAATCTTACACTTAGACATTTGTCCTGTTTGGTTTCTGGATGCCCAACTCAGAGAGGAGCTTGGTTTCTCAAAGAAGAATGGCCACCAAGACCAGCCAGAGAGTCTGAACCACATCATGGCCTCGTAGTGTCGGGGCATCAAGGGAGAGGGGCTCCCGGTGCATGCGGCAAGGTGAGCTGCTCCACTGGGGCTGGGAGGGCCTCTTACCGTCCACGTGATCTCCATGTTGTTCTTTCTGGTCCCCTCTCCCTTCACGTCACCAGGATTGGACTCGGGGGCTGGAACCCAAACAGACACAGGCTCAAGTCCAATTTGTGCCTTTCCAGGGCAAGGTAAGGAACCTTCCTCTGTCCTACCTGATGGGTCTGTTCTATGCTCTGTCTTTCCTCGGCATCTATGTATACGCTTGGTCTGGTATGTAAATGAGCTTACTCTGTGCATGATGTGCCTTTTGAGCTGAGATTTAAACTCCCAGAGCAGGGCTAATTTCTTCTGAATTTTAATCCTTTACCAGACAGCATTTATCATAAGGCTTTCCACACTGTGGGTGGTCAGTAAGCCAACTCAATGTGGATTAGCTCCTTTGTGGATTATCCACTAAATGTGTTTCATACCAGACTGGCTTATCCCTGGCATTTAACATTTTTTTTGGGCAGCATCTCTACCCTCTATGAGCTGGTGTGATTTCAGAAATCCAAATATTACCCAAGAGTGTTAGGAAAAGAAATCTGATGTAATACCAATTTATATATTTCTCACACTGAATTATGTATTTCTGCTGTACCTCTTTGCCACAGCTCTCCCCTTTAAAGCAGATAATCAAGAATTACTAATAATAAAAATGGAAGTTAGCATTTATCATGTGCTCACTACATGCCAGGCATCATAGTAAGTACCTGGCACACATTCTCAAATGTTCACAACAGCTCTGTGATGTAGGTGTTATTATTACTCTCTGCCTCACAGATGAGGCCGGGCCTTGGAGAAGTTAAGTAACCTAAGTTCACATGGCTGGGAATGGGGGGATCTCAGTGTGAGTTTGGGGTGCGGGGTTCCGGAGCCTTCTCTGGCAGCCCTCGGGTACTCACGTGCTCCACTGGTTCGGTAGCGCTCGGATGGGAGGCTGGGGTGGCTGCTCCCAACCTCGTTGATGGCAATGACACGGAACTGGTAGTTGACATACGGGGACAGCCGGAGGACGGCTGAGTTAACGCTGCCGGGGTACTTGGAATGGTCATGCCAGACCCCAGGTTGGAACTGGTCTTCTTCAAACTGGACGACGTAGTCTGAGTGGGCAAGGAAAACAGAGCTGTTTCGGGAGCTCAGTTAGCAGTGGTCTTCTTTAAAAGCACTTCCTTCTTGGCTTCCATTGATCTTTATAATCTCTCTCACACAAAGGCACAAGGAGAATTCTTCCCAAGGCACAGGAAGAGACACCAAGGCCTCTGTACATTCTGAGGTTAGCCCAGGACACACATCAAGCGAGGCAGAAGTGGGGCTGGAAACCAGGAAAGGCCTTCGGTTTAAGGGTGTTGCCGTCCCTCTTTTCCAGCTTTGGGGTGCAAGGCCCTGAGCTACCTGTGATGGGGCTGTTGTTAGCATCCCCGGGGATCCAGGTCAGCCGCACGCTCCTCTCGGCCAGGTCGGTCAGCTCCAGGTCCCGGGGCCGGTCTGGCCGTCCTGGTGGCAGAAGACACCACGCAGGCCTCCTGAGTTAGAGCAGGTCCACCCTTGTGATGGCCCTAGCCCTGGACAGCTCCCTGACGGGCTGTCTTCGCTACCAGCTGGATCCAACCCCAGCCTGCCCTGAGGGGTGAGCACAGGGACCACTCCCTTCCCACAGGGGCCCAAGGGAAAACAAAGAGGAGACTCCTGAAATCCCAGCCCCCCCCCACAAAGAATATCAATGGGTGTGGAACAAGGAAATAAAGGGGCTTATGCAGACAGAACTGGGACCAACGCCATTCCGTCTTGGTGGATCTTCTGAGAGTGCAAGCATTCAGGAATGCCACCCGTCATCAGACCCATGCTCACGACACTTAGGAAGGCTGATGAGGGAGTGTGGGATTCTGTCCCATTTTCTCACATTAATTGTCCTCTACTTTGTGTGCCAAGGCTCTGAGGAGATGGGAACCCAGGAGAGGGCTTGGCCTGCTGAACATGGCAGATGGGTTAGGGGAGTGGGGGCAACAAAGAGAGGGGATCAGACCAGGGAGGAGATGGAGACTTGGCTTAGGCATTTCATTGATGGACAGCAGGACAGAAGCCTAGCAGGCTTGCAAACAGGGGTGAGGGCAGCACCTTTTTTAGGGCATGAATCTCACTGGGACTGCTTTAGTGGGTCTAAGTGCCATCCTGGCCTGGGATAAAGACATCGGCTACTGAGTGGTACGGGTAGGCAAGATTTTCTCTCCATCTTGACTCCCTGAACCAGGTATTTCCATCTTTCAGATGGTCACTAGAAGGACTTGGAAGGTGAGTCCTACAGGCCCACGTTCACGTATGTGTGGCATGTGTGTGTAGATTGTAAATGGATAGAAAGCAATAGATGCAGGGAGGCTGAACAATGAGTTTCCAGGTGATGTGAAGGGAGCAGGCTTTCGCATTCCCTGCAAACAGGACCTGAAAGACTGCTGGGAGGACAGGCCACCCTGAGGGAGCGGTGAGTGTGGATGGAGGCAAGGGATGGGGTAAAACAGCAGCCGAGAACTTCCGAGCTCACCCTGTAAGGAGCAGGAAGCCCAGCAAAGGGCCGTGGGGAGGTGGACGTGGGCAACTCAAAGGAGGTCCCATGTAGCCAGGAGTGCTGCCCACAAACCTACACACTGTCGCCCTTTCCCAAAGTGGCTTCCTTCTCCCAGACTCCACACCCTGGGTGCCAAGAGAGGGCACTGGCAGGGGACTGTGATTAGTGGGAATTACCTTTGGGCAGGGCAGCCAAACGGTTAGTTGGAGTGGCCTGATCAGCTGCAAAGGTAAGACGGGTTATCCAGGTTAGCAGGTTATCCAGCATTAAAGGTGTTCTAGAAGGATGGGGGTAGGCAGCCGAGGCTTAAACAGCTGCCTCTGGGCTGAGGTGTTCTAGGCAGGGCTGTCCCCGTCCTTCCATGGGGAATCCCCTACCCTTATAGAGGCCATCTGTGTTTCCTCCACAGCTGGGGGCGGCACCTCTGTTTCCTTACCATCCCAATGTGACTATCGTGTCTGGGCCCACCCTCTCTGCAACTGTGCCTCTCCACTGCGCCAATGCTAGTGGCAGTAGGGCACCCACGGGGAGGCAGAGGTGACAGAGGACCTGCTTGCCTGGAAGGGAGAGGCCTCCTTCCTCTTGGTTTGGGTTAGCTTAGTATTTACAGTCCAGCCTGGGTGCAGGACAGGAAGACACAACGTCATCTTGCTTAGTGCATAGCATGTGATGAAACGCTACCAAAACCCAGGGATGGAGCGGGAGGGAAAGGAAGGCTGGCAGAGGTCATTGGAAGCACAAACACAAACTCAGTCTTGCTTTAAGGATGGATTGTTTTAATTGACTTAGTGGTGGAGTTAGCTGTAAGAAAGGTAAAATGATCACAACGAGAAACCCCTCTCCACTTTCTCTATATCACTCAGGCCCCTTTCAGTTGAGACGTGGGGAAGTTAATGACTCCACTCAGGAGGTAACCTGTCCAGCACAGCTTGTTCTGAAACTGGCAGCTCCCTAACCCTGACATCACGAGGCAAGAAGAGATCACCACGCCTGACCCGGCCACTTGACTGCAGGCACTGCCCTCGGAACTGCCCCGGGCCACTGCTTCTCTGGCTGCTGGGGAGGGGGTGGGGCTGGTCAGTGCCAGGGTGAGCATGGGCAGTTACCTAGCACGGTGAGGTAGGCCTTGGCCAGGTCTTGGTCTAGCTCGGTGCTGGCGACACACGTGTAACTGCCCTGGTCCCGCTCTGCCACCCCAAAGATGGTCAGGGAGTCGTCTTCCTTCTTCATCCTGCAAAGGTACCGAGGAAGGGTTGGGAGGAGGGGGTAGGGGAGTGCTGAGTCCTGCCCATTGCTTTCTCCCTAGAGGGGGTTCTCGAGTCAGGAGGGCAAGGGAAGCTCCTTCTGGGGGTATGAGGCTCCCTCTCAATGCTTTGACAGAGGTGAGGTCTTCACAGTCACCTGGAGCACTCATCATACTTGATGGAGGGGAACAGAGAGTGGGCGGAGCTCAAGTGGCTGTGAAGCACGTTTGCCACCTTCAAATTCTGTACGTGTGCCTGCCTCTGTGCCTTTACTGTGCTGTGCACCCCTCCCAGATGAGGGCACCATGAGGCCCATGACCCCAAGGTAGGTTGGTATTCCTTCTCCTCTCATACTTGTAGCTTTGTCTGTCTTCAGCCCAGACTTGTCTCCTCTGCACCCATGCTCAGGCCAGCCTGACCCCAGGCTCCTGGGAACTGTCTCCTATAGAGAGGGGAGGCCACAGAGCAGAATGGGGCTGTAGAGCTGTCAGCACTGAGTGCCAGAAGGTTTACAGAGGGGAACACCCTCTGCAAAAAGTCAAATGATGGCTAGAAACCGCTGGTACCGTGTCCAACTGCAGGGCCCTGCACAACTTTGCTCCCTCGGGGTGGAAGAAGGTAAAGCAAAGTAAGCCCTGGGGAGGGAGGCTCGGAACAGTGGTTCTCAACCCTGATGCACACTGGAACCCCCAGGGGGACTTTTAAACCCTGCCAGTGTCCTAAGTCCTACCCTACACCAATGAAATCAGGGTCTGAGGAGCGGGGCAGGCGTGGGTGTGGTAAAAGCATGCCAGGTTCAGTCAGGGCTGAGAGCTGGCTCAGATCAACCCTGCCCTCTGCTGAAGATTAGGGGTACTGCAAATAGGGCTGAAAGGCTGGAGCCTGGGATGCAGCAAAGGAGGAAAAGAGAAGACAGGGGCAAAAATGAAAGGGAAAAGAGGCGAAGTGAGGGGAGACAGGGAGAGGAGAAGTGAAGAGATTGAGAAGAGGGAGAGAGAGGAGGTGTAGGAGAGAGAAGCAGGGAGCTGGTGGGAGAGAGGGAGGTTGTACAGGGTCGGTGGGGGGGTCTCCCCTGAAGCAGGGGAGTTGCCCAGGCCATCACCCCCTCTGCAGAAGCTCCTTGGTGACATGCATGACACGGGTTCCCTGTCCCTGTGTTCTTCCATGTGTCACCAACAGCAAGGGAAAAGAAAATGCGCCTCAAACTAGCACTAGGAAGGGGGAAGGGGGAAGAGAAACCTGTTTCCAATATAGAGCGGCTCGTCATCCTTCAGCCAGGAGACGGTGAGTTTCAGGGAGGGGTCGTGCTTCACCCGACACTCCAGCTGCACCGTGGTGCCCCTTCTGGCCACCTGGTCCTCGGGCATCCGGTAGATCCTGGTGGGGTCTGTGGAGAAGCCCAGAGCACTCGCCACTGGCCTGTTCTCTGCCCAGCATCCCCATGCGGCCACAAAGTGGCATATGTCTGCCCTCGAGGCCTTGGGCCAACTATGGAGTGGGGCACAAACAGTATGCTATGGTATGAACGGAGCAGAGTTCTGGGTGGGTAATCCCCAAAGCAGATAATGCCCCAAATCCACTCCATCTGGCTCAGGAATATATGATGTAATTTCTGGGCTGGTAGTGGGGAGTTGGTGTGAGCAGAAGGTTTCCCTTCCTAATTCTCTTTGGACCACACTGATCCTAAAAGGACTCCACAGGTGCAAACTGGGCAGCCCACTCCAGGTTAAAGACAGGTGTGGTGCATTTTCAATGTGAATATTGTATGTGGATAACTGCCAGCATGGCCTCCTTGTCCCTCTCCAAACTCCCACTGGCGAACCCTCTCCTTTACCTTTGACCTCCAGGCGGACTTGGTTTTCAGCTTTGCCCAGGATGTTGGTGGCGACACAGGTGTAGATGCCCTGGTCCTCTTTGCGGATCATCTTAATTTCCAGACTGCCGTTCTCATAAACATGGTAGTTGCCACCATCCAGGTTGCTTCCTTGCCCATTCTTAAACCTCACAACAGAGCAGCAGAACACACAGCATCCTGAGACAGGACCAGCCCAAGGGCAGGGGCAGCAGCCAATCAAGAGAGACCATGGGGGCTGTGGAAGGAGCCCCATGCTAGGAGACTGGAGCCCTGAGCCTCGGAGGGTCTGCCTCTAGCCACCAGGTGGCCCTGGCAAGCCTCCATCCCTCTCAAGGTCTTGGTTTCCCATTCTGTACAATGAGGAGGTTGATCCAGATGATCTGCTAACTTCCTCCCAGCTTTGACCCTTTAAGATTCCCAGGTCTTGCTGAACACCTACTATGGGCCAGATGGGAAGGAGAAGATGAGACAGGTGACCCCTGCTGTGGAAGGCCTGATCTCCTGGAACTTACCATCGCAGTGTGGGGATGGGAGACCCAAAGAAAGGGCAGTCCAGCCGCGTCCGGTTGTAAAGAATCACTCGAATGAGCTGGTTCCGGGGCGACAGCATCCGAGGCGGCACATCTGAAATTCCCAGAGAAGCAATCTCGAGTGCCAAGTCTAAACTCTTCCATCTCTTCCCCCTCGGTCTCACCTCTGCATGCCTTCTGCTTACAGCAGCTTCCCAGGCACTGAGACACCTTCCCCTATCAACCTTCCCTCCTTCAGGAAGCCCCTAAGGATTAGGTGGGGAAGGAGAAGCTTACTACGTCCTCTGCCCTCAACCTACCCTACATCCAAATCCAGCTTTTGCAAAGGGTCTCCCCAAATTATCCAGCAGGTTCCATAGCTGCCCCATCACAGCCCTAAGGCATTTCCTAGCTACCCCTCCACCACCATCTCCCTGCCCAGCGGGTACAGCAAATATACTCAGAACCATTTCCCACCGTGAGATCCAGCTGCGAACCCAGGGGAAGTCAACATGGATACACCAAGGCGATGGGACAGTCCCACTCTATCTCATCAGGGGAGGGAGAAGACTAAGATTGACTGCTCTGATGGAATTAACTGTCTGCTCATCCAGCTTTGTGAATTTTAAGTCTTCCATCTGTACAATGAGGAGGTTGATCCAGATGATCTGCTAACTTCCTCCCAGCTTTGACCCTTCCATCCCTCTCACAAATTTTTTCCCATCTCCATGTTTCCCCTATCCAACATCCTCTTACCTCACCCAGCTTGGCCAATCCCCGGAGAAGAAAGTGTGCCCCACGACATAACCAAGCCCCAGGGCGACTGTGCAGTAGTGGAGAGGAGGGGGAAACAGGCTGCGAAGGGCACACTCACCCAGCACACTGACAAAGGCGTTGGCCAGCAGGTAGCCATGCTCGTTGGAGGTGTTGCACTGGTACACAGCCCTGCTGCTGATCTGGGTGTCCCGGAAGATGATGGTGTCTCCGGCCACCTCACGGTTTGGGTTAGGTGGTGCCGCTACAGACAAGAAAGAGACGCTCCTCATGAGAGATGGGGAGGGCAGGGTGAAGGGCACTTGGGGCTCTGGCCAGGGCTCCCAGGAACAAGCGGGGTGCTGTGGGGAGCACCAGATGGGGGGCCAGATGACAGGGCTTCTGGCCTTGCCACTGCTGGGCTGTGTGTGACCTTGAGCCCTTCTCTGAACCTTTGGGGTTTATTTCTAATCTAGCCTAGAGTATGGAATATGAATTCCTGTTCGACCTACCTACCCATTGGGCAGTTGTGGTTGAGAGCATTAGCTTTGGAAACAGAAAGGAGTTTTGGTTCTAACCACATCACTTCCTACCAGCATCATTCAATCTCTGTGAGCTTCAGTTTCCTTGTCTGCAGAATGGGAATAACAGATCACCTCATGGGGTTTTTGTGAAGATAACCTGAGATTTTATGCATGTACAAAATGATGAACAGAAGGTCTAACACATACTGTTATTATCATTTTAATCGAATGTGCATATATTTAAGTGTGTTTTGAAAAGGACAAAACAGTATACAATAGACAGAACCTACCACCTTCCCATCCTCCAAAGAGAGCATGCTCCAAACATTCATAAAGTTAAACCCATAAGCCAATGCCTCTTGAAAATGGAATGAGTCATTTTATTTGACAAAGCTCACAGCTCTTCCCCAAAAATGTGTCCTAAACTGAGAGAGGATATTCTTGCCCACAGTTCTAGTACTGCTGGCTTGGGATGCAGAGAGCAGAGGCTGGAGAGGGCTGGGGGTCCACACTTCACTCTGGGATCTGGGGTAAATCAACAAACCTTTCTGGGCCTCATTTCCTTCTTCTGTAAGATGGGGAAGAATCACTTCCACCTTTCCCCTACTCTAAGAAAGGCTAAGATAAGAGAACAATAATGAGCTGTAAAAACAAAAATTTTCTAGAAATGTAAAGAATTGCCACTTTTCTCATCTTTAACCACTAGAAAGTGACTTTCCTTCCTAAGATTTCTGGACTAGGAAGCTGATGACTTAGCTTACAGAGTACATGAACGCATTCAAGATGACTCAGACCTACAGGGGAAGTCAGCGGAGGATGCAGGAGTCGCCCTGCAGGCGCCACTCCACAGATAGCCAGCCTGAGCCCAGAACCGGGGAATCAGCAGATGGGAAAGGAAGACAAAGTTAGCACCCTTATCATCCACGCCCGGGTCCCCACTCAGTGAAAAGGGACCAAGGAAGGCAATGCCAGAAACTTGTACACCTCCTTGCCTGGCAAATTCTCGTGCAACCAATAATCCCCCCAGTCACTCTCCTTACACGTTCCCTGGGGAGAGTGACAGGTGACCTTTCCAGGGCTGAGGCTCAGCTGCAAGTCCTGAGCTGCTTTATTGAATGGTGCTGTAAAGTTTAGCGCAATTGCCTAGCTTACCCCCAAAGTCCTATTAAGACGGAGAGAACTGTAGAGGGCAGGCAGTGTCCATATCTCTGCTTGTAGCTGGGGAGTAACATTTACTGGGGATAACTAGGTTCAGTACTAGCTGGTGCAGTTGTATTGCAGACTCACAGCAACCCACAACTTCACCACTTCCTAGCCATGCGATTTTGGGCAACTCATTGCACTGAGGAGAACCTTATTTCCTTACCTTAAATGTTTGAAAGTAAAGCAACAATGGAGTGCAGCATCTAGCACAGAATGTGGCATACAATATATGTCTAAATAGGTAAATTCTTACCCTCTCCTCTACCTGTGTCCCCCCCTCTCCACCTGCTTCTACCAGCTGCTGCTCTTGAGTTAGACTGAGTTCTCGCCATCTACTTTTTCCCCATTTGGTTGATACCATTGTTTACATTTCCTCTGACCTCTTAGAGAAAGTAAGGACAGGACATTTTGAAAAGTAATGCAACCAGAGAGTCTATGATGTGAAAACTTGACCAAGGCCACTGATTATAAGGGGTCTTGGAGTCATCTACTCCATCCACCTGGGCAGGACTAAATGTCCCCAAAGTCTAAGCATACTCGATAAAGTGCACTTGTACATCTGCTCTTCTGGGGGCAGTTCTTCCTCATATCTAACCATAATATTTCACATTATTGTACAACCCTGCTTCTTCTTTTGCCCTTAGCAGAGAGCGGAACTTGAGTAACCAACAATGGGTTACTGAATTCTCCTCTACCTTCCCAGCCCCAGCCATCACTCAAAGCCCAACCACCCAGAGATGCAGCCACAGTCCCCAGGCCATCAACTGGGCTCTGAAGTTGTTCAGAGGGAGAAAGCAGAGATTTAAAAAACCCCAAGGGAGCAGAAATCCCTTAAGCATGGGAATATGACCACAGAGTTCCAGGCCTCCTGTTCTCTCACACAAAGAGAGGGTAGGTTTCCTGCCTCTTGAGATGTCTGAAGAGATGGGCAGCTGAGAAACAGCCACCAGTGGGCTTCTCTCTTCCTGAACTTCTAGTGTGACCAGCACTGGCTACAGTGATGGGGATCTGAAGCCTTTGACAGCAGAGAGATGAGAGTCAGATGGGACAACAGCTCGCTACTTACATTGCAAAGGTTCCCCATTCACCATCCACTGGACAGTGGGTTTGGGGTTTCCATTGGCTCGACACACCAGTCTCCCATCCTCGCCAGGAGCCAGAATAAGGTTCTTGGGTTCGTCCAGCCAGTAGGGAGCAGCTGGAAGACAAGACAGACACAGGCAGGGGAGTTAGATGGCATGGGACAGGCAGAAGAAACCAAGCAGTCTCCCTCTAGTATGGCAGGAGCCCCTGAGTCCCAGCACCACGTGCTCACCACCTGCCCCAGGGCTCATCCTCACAGGGATAACTTGGTCCAGCCTGTTTCTGGCTGGCTTGGCTGCACAGATGCTGATCTGTCTATTTTGAGTTCACAGAACAATAGTTCTAAACTGGGGCTGCTCACTAGAATCCCCTGAAGAGCTTTTTTTAAAAAAAGGGATGTTAGGGCCTATCTCAGACCTACTAAATCAGAATCCTCACAGGAGGCCTGGGTGGCAGATGCTTTTAGAGGTCACCAGTGTTTGAGGTGTGCATCCAATGGCTCCACTGCTAGGGAAGGTGGTAAAGTGGGCACTGAGTTGGTCCCTCTGGATCTCTGTTTTGCAAGATCAGACCATTTAGGAAAAGCCTAATGAACATTTCTTTAGGCACTGAATTTTGGTTAGAGTAGTTCTTTTTTTTTTTTTTTTTTTTTTTTTGAGATGGAGTCTTGCTCTGTCGCCAGGCTGGGGCGCAGTGGCGCAATCTTGGCTCACTGCAACTTCCGCCTCCCAGGTTCAAGCAATTCTCCTGCCTCAGCTTCTTGAGTAGCTGAGATTACAGGCATGTCCCACCACGCCCAGCTAATTTTTGTATTTTTAGTAGAGATGGGGTTTCATCATTTTGGCCAGGATGGTCTCGATCTTCTGACCTCATGATCTTTCCACCTTGGCCTCCCAAAGTGCTAGGATTACAGGCATGAGCCACCACGCCCAGCTAGAGCAGTTCTCAGCTGGCCACCTTGTTCAGTTGTTTAGACAATTTTGTGAATATGTGGAAATGTGGATTTTTCTGAGAAGTGAGCCTTTCAGATCAGATTATCAACAATCTTGATACTCACCCCCTACCCCTCAAAGTCTAAGAACTCCTTAGTTTGTGTATGGTGCTGAAGCCAAGGTCACAAGATCAACTGACTGCCTGCTAAGAAAGTTTCTATACTCTGGTCTCGAACATCATTATCTCAACCATCCATACAGCCCCAGGCCAAACAGTGACCAGTGCAGCCTGCCACACACGGTGGGGACCCATGACGACACGTGCTCTGGTGCCTGCAATCACTCGGGTGGGCCCTCTTTGCTTTGGGGGGAAGGAAGTGATTTTAGAAAATAATTTTGGCCATGACCACTCCCCAGTTTTAAAAAGCAGCACAGCATCATGCATAGGTACACAGACAGCACGGGCTCACGTGACACATCACAAACGGGAATGCAAAACGAAAGGAAAAAAAGGCTCTGGGAATGATCCAAATGGGCCGTGGGAGGAAATTCACCCGCTGAGGGAGCGCTGGCACCAAGGAGAGTTGGATGATGGCCAGGGTGGATCTCCTTAACACCCCCTGCCCCATGCACGGGCATGCACACACCCTCTCACGTCCAGCGAGTGACACCATCCATGGCAGATCGCCATTGCCACTGAGCAGTGGGCTGGAAGTCTCTCCGACTCACTCTGCCCCCAACCACCCTCAGAGGGAAGGGTGGGCATGGTGTTCAGGGTTGGCAACATAATCATAATGATAAATACACACAACGTACCCTTTACTCTCACCGAGATCGTGTGCCGGATGCTGCCCATCTTGTTGGAGGCCAGGCAGAAATACTCCCCGGAGTCTTCCTCAGAGACATTTGTGATACGCAGGGCCTTATTAAAGTTCTCAAACTTGGCCTTATCAGATGGGAGGTCCCCACCTTTCTTGTACCATGCGATGTCTGGTGTTGGGCTAGGAGAGGCGCCAAGCAGGAAACAAGTTATCACTAAACGTGGCCTTTCTCCTCTTCTATACAGCTGGGGACACCCAGGTGGCCTAAAAGTATACTTGGGCCCAGGAGGATGCATGTCCTCTAAAAGCTGATCTTTCCTGTGCAGAGGAGGATGCTCAGCCACAGAGAGCCTGAAGGCTTAGCTAAGGTCCCACGAGATTCTAACGCATCTACGGGATGCCTAATCACCTTCTTTCCTCATTATCCAAAACAGAGATGGCCAGGATAGGATGGAGATGACTATGGTTTGCAACACCCTGCTCACTAGAGGCTGTTTGCTTCTCTTTTTGCTGTGCTACTGGTATGCACTAAATGTGGCATTAACAAGAGCATGAACAAGCTCCCATCCCCATCCTCCTGGAGGGTGGCTAGAAGAGGGGCTGCAAACCGCACATACACCCCGGAGGCGATGCATTCCAGCAGGAGGTCCATGCCACGAAGCACCATCTGGCTGCTCGCGGTGCCCTGGGGATACATGAAGCTTGGTGTTCTTTCTGCAACTCCTCGGGCTGAAACAGGAGAGAACAAACTCCCATGAGCCTCCTTCCAGAAGGCAGACCCCACTAGGCCAACGCTGTCAGGCTAGAGAGAAGTGGCATCACCGCCCCTGCCGGATCCTCCCAGCTGAAACCATCCCAAGGACTTGGGCATCATTAAGTGAGGTGTGTTAGGAAGCCCAGGGCTCCTCAGCCCCACCTACATGAGAGAGAGGAGCTCTAGGTTCTGAAAGGATCTGCCTGGAGGAGCCCAGCTTCCCTCAGGTTCAGGGAATCTCCCCTTCCCTGGAACGGGGAGGGGCTGTCTGAGCAGTGCGAGATCTACTCCAGAGCAGCTTGTGTTGGGATCCCAGAGGCCACTGTGTGGCCCCCAGGGCAGGCCATCTCAGCAGCGGTCCTTCTCCCCAGGCAGGGATCTGGAAGCAGAGAAGGCATGTACTGGGTCCACAGGACAGACAACCTGCTCTTTAGGACCCTGAAAACAAGGTGCTGGGATGGAGTCACAAAGCCCGCACAATCAATCAGAAATGCAGGGAGAGTTATTAATGGCTTAGCAAAGACATGGAGAGAGTTAATGAACAGAGATGACAGGAAATCACTCCGGGGCCAAGACCATTCTGCCTCCTCACTAATGACTCGGGAAGACAGCTGGGGAGGAGAGTAGTAATTACATGTGAGCTGCTCGGGGAGGGGGTGGGAGAAAAGTGGCCGCCAAGTTGGAGGAGGTGATGATCTATAATGCAACTAGGCCGGAACAGTCATGGGTCTGAAATCAATGAGATTCATGCAGGTCTTGAAGGCCAGGTGGCTCACAGAGATTGGCATTTTCAGGATGGCTGTTTCCCTGTAGAAGGGTTGTGCCAGCATGGGCCCACCCATGACAGAGTGAATTCCACCTTCCCCGAGCCTCACCTCTTCCCCCAGAGCTCTTTGTATAGCTCTAGGGGAATGGGTAAGATGGAAGGGAAAAGAACGAGAATTTTCCATCCAGAAACCCCAAGGCAAAAGGGAAACTGGAGGAAGTACCCCCTGGCCAAGGTGTACGATCGTACATAGGAATGGCTAAAAACAAAAATAGAAGCTGAGCCCACCCATGGGTTTAATGGGGTCTTAGACTCAGCAGGACAAGGGAAAGGTGGAGGGGAGGCAGAGCTGCCAGGAGCTGGGAGGCCTCAGAGACACCTGGGGTGAGGATGAAGACACTTATCCAGGGTTTAATCGGTGCTGGTAGCGTGAGGAGAGAGTGCGGGGGAACTTTATCCAGATGTAACTGGTGCTTCCTAAAGGAGCTTGCTGGGTTTGCTGGGGCCTGGCTGCACCGGCGGGGCTCCTGTTCTGGGGCACTCAACTCTCTCCCTCGGCACTGGTGGAGTGCAATTCATAGAGTTTGCTTCTATTTTATCTTTTTGTCAAAAGAAGAAAGGATGAAACATATGCAGAGGGTAACGAGGCTGATGATACAATACACGGCATACAGCAAATGCTCAATGAAGGTTTATAAGGTGAATGGATTGGAGGGGAAGAAGAGAACAAAAAATAAGGCAGCAGTTTAACCCATATTATTTCTCTTTCTGTAGATGCCTCATCTGTCCCACCAGCACACACATTACAACAGTGACTACTGAAGGGGTTAATCCATTATGTGGTTAATTGGTTATCATCTATGTCTATAACTCTTGTAGCATCCAATTCTCAGCACCAAGGAAGCCTGACACCAACAGCTTCCTCCCACCCACCATCACGGAATCACCAAAACAACCAAGACACATGGGCACTATGAGGAAAGGAGATTCTAGGGCAGAAGGCTCTGTTGTCAGGTTGGTGAATCCGTCAAGAGCTGGGAACCCTGGGATTCTGTGGAAGAGGTAGGTCCCAGCTAAGTCGTCATACTCCTTCCACACTGGGAGGAAATCTGCAGAAACCAATCTGTGACCCTATGGACGTTTAATTTACACCATAACGCGCGACACCACCAGCACGCACAACCCAGCAAAGCAATAATGATGGGAAGGAGGAAAATTTAGCACAGAGTTCTGCTGTGGGTGCCTTGACACACTGTAGCTGTGACTATAAAGAGGTTACAGCAATATTGCATTTGTAGGATGTGGGCTAGCAACAATAGAATTATCCTAAAGAAGGAGAAGCTACTGGAAACAAGCCAAAGTTCAAAAAAAGAGAAGAGCATCCTAAAAGTTGGAGGTCATAATCAGGGCCACCATTCAGTGAACGTTTGCTAGGGACCATGCACTGTGCTGACAGCTCCATCCACACCACCATTTATGCTTAATCCTCACAGCAAACCTGGAGGGTTGTATCCCCATTTTCAGCAGAGGCAACTGAGGCTCAGTGAAGTCAACAGACTTGCCCAAGGTTCCAAGCTAGTTATGTTTTGGATTCTGTGCCATTTAGCACCAAAAACGTGTGCTTTCCACCCACTCTACATTGCCTCTCTGTCTAAAGATGGGCATCCCACTTGTTCCTACTTCTGACAGTCAGCTTCAGGAATATCTTTCTTATTCAAACCAAAGAAAATGCAAGGGCAAAAGAGGTAAAGGAGAAAGATATTTCTGTCTTAGTGAGCTGCTCTGGTGAAACTCTTCCACTATGTTTTACTATTCTCACTGTCTCAGCTAAGATCCCACCTCTCCTCAGTGGCTATTAAAAAAAACTCGGGCCCAAGGTGGAGAAAAAGAAGCTGAGGAGGGAATTCAGCAGCTCTAAAGGCACCTCAGTTGGATTCTTAAAGGCATGGAAAACTTGAAGAAGATTTGGGGGACATAATATCATTAAGGAATGAGATGGCTGGCCCTAAAGGAAAGGTTATGAAGAAATGCAGTCAATTGCAGCAGGAGGAACTCATATGAAAATCTAGGAAGGATACTAGAGCTGGTGGCTTTGAGAGCCACTGTTCTCAAAGAGGGTGCCTAATTTCCTTCCCTGGAGAAGTAGAGACAGGAAGACTCTAAGACAACAGTGATTACTAGATGAAACTCTAAATGGTGGCAGATGACTGTCTCATCTTATCATGGGACACCCTCTTTCATCATGGAGGCAGGGATCCCTGGAGAGTATTGGTTATTCGCCCTGATCTTCAGAGTGGGGTCTGACCTAATGCCTGATCAAACTCAGAGTCCATACGCTAAAGCTCATATCTGTGTGGATTCAGGAAGAGCTTCCCTCGCCAGCTCATTTGACTTCTTGCCCAGGGACAGTCAGTCCTCTCCTGCTCTCGTAAGCTGTGGCTCAGAGTGGGTCCATGGGTTTCTGGGGAAATATGGTCAGCTAGCAGACAACAGGAGATGACAATGCCTCAACCATGTTGGCCTTAAAGGTCCAACGATAAATGCCTCTTGATCATCTCTTTTGAGGAAACATCAAGACTCCTGACAACCTTAGTTGCCCCCCTCTGTCAAGTGCTATGTGTTAGCAGGACAAGAAAGTTCAATGAATCAGACGTATCTGAGGACCTCTACCAAAAACAGCTTTTAGGGGCATCTGTATCCCTCATCCAGACCACTTTGCTGCTTTCGATTCTCAGAACTGAGAACCAGAGACTCATGGGGCCAGATTCTTGGCATCTCATTCACCTCTCTTGCTCTAGGAATGGCTGACCAAACAACCCCAGAAGATAGGAAAAACTCTTTGTCTAGTAATATTTGATACCTTTCAGTACCAGGAAATTTCTCCTGTAAGTTTAACCCAAACCTCATATGCAGTAGTTGGAGCTTTTCTTCTTATGCAGTTCTCAGCACAGCTGAGGATTTGAACAGCTTTTGTTTCTCTGGTCTGCCCTACAATTTCTCCCTCTATGGTACTTTCTTCCTATAATTGCACCTGCTTTTTGCCCCTTGGCTTCTCTTTAAGTTCTGTCTGTCCTTCTTAATTTCAGAAGCATAGAAGAACTATCCAGGATACAGTCAACACTAAACCATTCCCTTTAAAACCAGTAATGGGTAACACTTGTTAAGTATCGAGAATGTGCCCAACACATACTAGGAACCATAAGCACATTCTCCTGTTTAATCTTCACAACAATCCTATGAGACAGGTAATACATCCATTTGGCAAATGAGAACATTAAAGTTCTGAGACACTAAATGACTTACTCAGCATCACTCAATGGTATGTCCCGGACCCTGGATTTAATTCAAGGCAGTCTACCTCAGAGCACACACTCTTAACCACTTGGTCTCCTCACCTGGCTGAATCCTAAGCGGCAAGTTACAATCTCAGACCAGATTCTCCTGCCACTCAGCAGGTCAGGGGGCACCTAGCAGTGTTCAGAGGATACCAATCCACTCTAGAAATCACTAAAACAAAATAGAAGTATGGGGTGGCCCTCCTGCTACAAAAGAGACGTGCCATATTTCAGAGCCAAACAGACAGATGCCCTGGGCACTTTTCATCAAGTCTCTCTGTCCAGATGCCTGCACTCCAGAAAGAAGTCATCCTCCTTCCTTCCATTTCCCTTTGATTTCTTGCTAGAAGCATCAGCCTAGTTGTCTTTTGTTCAAAATGTGTCTCCCTTTGACTTTATATCCTTTCCAGCAGCTTCATACTTGGGTCAGCTCCGTCCTACCCTGGATTGAGGACAAGGGGTCAATCTCCAGGTAAACTCTTGTAAGCTTTGCTTGTTTCATAGTCCTGGATGGATCTCATAAGTCCCACTCATTCTCTTGCAATAATAGTTTGATCAATGGTCACAAACTGGTTTAAGTGACTGGAATCACTCAAACTTATTCCATTGATAAAACAACTCTATGTGTACGTTCCCCTGTATGGCTTATCTTACATAAAGTGAGGAACTTAGACCAGATGGTCTCTAAGGGAACTTCTGGCTCTGATGCACTCAGGCTTACAGAATACTTCCTATAACAGATTACCTGGAATCCGATTTAGAACAAGGCCCATTCCATACCAGGGCTCTGGGGCTCTTAACACAATAGTAGTTGGCCCCATTATCTTGAAAACAAACAATGCTTAGAATCCAACAAAGGTCCCCTGATTCCTTGGGTAGTGAATCTCTTTGGCAGGATCTCAGTGTGGTTCTAGCTGCTTGGTGCCAAGTTAGAGCCTTTGCCTCTCTCCCTGGCTCGCGCTCCCTCATCCCATCCCCTTCTCCAGTCACTCATCATCCTTTGTATTAGCACATCACAGTGCAGACACTTCCTATCTGTTTCAGCCCACAGTGAGGTCCCTTGAGGACCTGCAGCCTCAGCTTCTGAGGCATAACTAATGATGGGGGCCAGCTGCCTCACCAGAGCCAGCAAATGATGGTGCCTCTGGCTGCTCAGGGAAAATAAGACATTCTTGAGCCATGGTGAGGGGTAACTCAGGTGTGGAAATAGCCAATTACCCTATTAATCAGACTGAGCAACCAGCTGTGTCATGAGTTAAAACCATGCCTCATTGTAATTGTTCCATGTCTCGCAAGTGTGGACTGGTGGGCATTTGATTTGCATATACTACCAAAGGAGGAGAGAGGCCTAGGTGAGAGGGTACGGTGGATGGTTTCACCTCATTTATACTCATCTTGAAAGAGAACTCAGAGCTGGACTCTTACTCCTATTGCCCAGATGGATTTTAAAGAGACACGGGACCTCACTGTGAAATGGTACTCCCGGTAACTAAGGTGAGATTACAAAGCAGGCAATTCCTATCTAGAGTTAACTGAACATACTAACAAGCTTTCTGTGTTCTTTCAACTACCAATAGGAACCAGACTTCCTGTTTTCTCTTCACTATGGAACTCACCTATTTTAAGATAGTCTCCCTTCATCCATTCTTGATTCCTAAGCTTCTACTTTTTCAGTAAAAGTTCCTGCTTTTCAAGAAGTTCTTTTGAAGTCCTACCCTGGTTTGAACAACTTGTTGAGAATTCAGCAACTTGAGGCATGCCTGTTAGAGGAGACCACACCACCAGGTGAGCCACCTCAAACCCCCACACTGCCTCCTGGCAGGCAGCCTTCTGGAGGTGTCACCTTGGCACCCTGGCTGGGCCAGCTGCCACCCAGCAGGAGTTAATGACGTGGTATCAGTCAAGTTAGGCAAACTGGGGTTAGCACAGGCAAGGTTACTCCCAAGGTTACCGCTGCGACTCACCACTGTACATGTCAGGGTGGTTTCTTAAGGACGAGTCATTATAAGGGTGGTCTGTAACAAACAAAAGAGGGTGAGCAAACAGGAGGCCACGGAGAAGTCACAGAGGCATAAACGGGGAGAGAAAACAAATGCAAAGCCAGAAAAACAACTGAGGAGGGCAGCAGTGGTCTTTTGCAAAGGAAAGACACGGCATATTTGGAAAGGCAATACGCTCAGTGAAGAACAAGCAACACAAAACAGCCCACAAAAGGAGAAAAAAAGGTTAAATCCTGCAAAAGAAGGCAATAATACAGTAATGGTTTTTTTAAAATTAAAGAAATTAGGTTTGAACTTTAATTAATTGGTCCTGCTATATTTTCAAACAAATGAGAGAAGGATTAGTGGTGTCCTGTAGCCATCTTTTGAACAACTCCTTCTTATCAAAATCCTCAGTTCCCAGGACTCTGGGTCAGGCTAGCTCTTGGAGCAGCTAAAGAGAAAGGAGTGTTAGTGAGCTCCGGGGAAGAGCAAAGTGCTGCCTGGGCAGAAGCTAAGCTGCAGGAGGTTGGTGGTAAATGGGAGGAGGTCATTGACCAAAAGAGTTGGGCCAAGGGGCCCTGGCCACACCCAGCAACATGTGTCACTGGAGTCTGCCCAGGTGGGCACCACTATGATCTTGGAGATGTCTCTGTTGGCAGAAAGCCCTCCTTGTGAGGATGCCGGGAGAGGTTCAGTGAGGTGGGGAGAACATCCCTGAGGTTCAGGCTTTAGAATTTAGAATTGGAGCTTGGGACAGGAGAAAGTGCAAGCTGTGAGTTCTACATTTCAGACTAGGAAAGTCCTCCTGAACGTTCTGGAGGTTCGAAGCTCTCTAGACTATGCAGGATTGAAGACATTCCTTATGGAGCAAGATCAGTGGCTTCAGTTCCAATGTTAGGTAATTCAAACTCGTGGGCATTTACTCCTTAATGAGAAAGACATTTCAGAAGAGGACACATCATCACGCCAGCGTCCTGAAGGAGCTTTTCCCTCTCTACCTCTGGTCCCTTCCAGCAACTGGGTTCAAATTGTGACAGTACTAAAAGGGGGTGGGGTATACAGCTGACTGGAAGCCAAGCAGATGGCCCTGAGGAGGCAAGAACATGGTCCAACTGCTCGAGGGACAACAGGGGCTCTGCCAAAACATTTGCATATTTGTCGACAGATCCAATCCCATTACAACTAGTTGCAAGAAGTATGAGAGTCCTTTTCTGGGACTGGCATTGCATTGCATCCCAAATCTGCTTGCCACCTGGTAGGAAGATTTTCATTATTCAGAACTCTCTCTTAAGATGGGGTTTGTTGTAAAGACCCAGCCTGTTTGGGAAGTCTGCTTGGGTCCATCTGGAGCTAAAGGCAGGAATAAATCCACAATGTAACGAAGAGATGGGGTGGCCCAAGGGCAGGTGGGGGCTGCAGCTGGGCTTGGGAGGCAACTCTGTTCCTCTCCTGGGGGTGGATGGTGGCACATACAGATGACAGGGCCCTTCCTTCATGCTCCCATATCACCAGGTGAAATGTAACCTATCTCTCTCCAGAGAAGTAGCCCACGCCCAGAACTGACCTCGTGGTTTGTGAATTCTGGAGCACATGTGAGAAATTCACGGAAACTTCTTTGACTGCTCCAAGAATGTCACTTAGACACTGGAGGAAGAAGGGGTGTGCCCTGGTGTCTGCCTTAGGGAGGACCCTCCTCGCTTACCACAGTTGCCTCTTATTGCATCAGGAGGCACCCAGCACCTGTTACAGCATAGGCAGAGTGGGACGGGCCCAGCTCTGTAGCCCAACTCCACTGCTTATCTTTGACTGCATCCCAGGTTTTAAAAATGATTTCAGATTACCCAGTATTTTGCATTACATACCATTGTCAACTTCCTTCAATGCAGGTAATAAAAATGGGACATGATGAGATTTATTTCTTCCCAAATGGGCAAACTGTGACAGGAGTGCCTGGTGAGAATAGGGCCTTTGAAGCTGCCCCTGCCTGACTGCTTTGCCTCCCACCCCAGACCTGGTTCTGAAGGTACAAGAGAAAGCCTGTGTCCTCTCCAGACAGGAAAGTAGAGAGAGCACCACTGTGCTATTTTAAGCAAGTGTGCCCAATTCTGGGCTGGCTCAGATGCCCAGAACTTGCTCCCAGCCAGAGCTGCCCCTGGGAGAACTCCAGGAAGCTGATGGGGCTCTGTTCCAATCACCTAGGGGGTCTCTCGCCATTCGGAGGAAAGAGTTTTCAGTGGAATAGAGGACCTAGAAATGAAGAATTAACAAACATCCCTTACTTCTTCTGGTAGAGAAGAGTGTTTCTGGAAAGTCCAAGTTCTACATGTTGTTTAAATCTCTAACTGCAGAGGAAGTTAGTTAATTCTACAGAGGAAGACTCTTCACCACCTCAGTCTCTTGGCCTCTGCTCTACTCTGTGTGACAGTGATGGGCTCTGCCCAGGATGACAGAAGGTCAACTGACTCAGTTCCAAAAGCAGCAGGCCGATTTCTAGCGTCGTCTGGGCAAGGAGAGAGGGGCCCTGGTGGTGATGCTGATGGCTGTCCAGGCTCAGCTCAGCGAGCATGTTATCTTGTTCTTGACATCCCTGCTCCTCCCCCTGCCAATGCTGTTAGTCCTGTCCTGGCTGCTGAGGCCACTCCGAGGTCCTGGGCAGACTACACTGTCCTTCCCAGCCCAGCCAGCTGGCAGGCAGTCACCCTGATGTGGACTGAGGAGACACTGCAGACAAACCAACTTTCTCCTCCAAGGGGTCTCCCTGGGCTTGGGTCAGGAATGAGAAAGTCAGGGACGGGGGAGCAACTGGAGTGAAGCCAGGTCACCCTGCCAGGAACTCGAGGGGCTTGCTGCAGGTGTCAGGCAACCTGCCGGCTACCACCTTTGGCAGCCCAGCACCAACACAGATCAGTGTGTGGGGACACTGCAAGGCAGGAGGCGATGATTAGAGGAGGGCAGAATGGAGTTCCAAGACAGAACAGAGAGATGGAAAAGAAGAAAGAAAAAGAAAGAGGGAGGAGAAATAAAGAAGGAAGTGAAAAAGAAAAAGGAAGAAAATGAAAAGGTGAAAGAAAAAAAAAAACATGAGAAGGGGAAGAGAAAAGGAAGCTGCTTCCTTTTGGATCCACCTCTGTGCCATGGTGGAAATGGAGCATGGGGCTGTGTTGGCTCTCAGGACCACCAGCCTCTGCCATCAGCAGGGATAGGGAGGAAGGAAGAGAACGATAATGGTCACACCCCCTACCTGTCCTGAATGAGAAGTGATCTCACCTGAACCTCTCCTGACCCACACCCACCCGGGGAGCCATTGTTCACCACCTCTGCAGGGGCTCCAGGAAGCCAGGGTCAGCCTATTTTTTCTGACCTTTGCAAACTGCCAGCACCCACATGGTGCTCTCTACTGGCCTCCCCAACAATCCTCACTGTCCAGAGCATCAGAAACAACACTCACAGCATGAGTCAGACTAAGGTCTGTTTTTTGGGGGGCTCCTTTATGGAAGGCGTGTTACAAATCCATGGTGTACATCAACATAGACAACTTCCAACGTCCTGAGTGGGCTGAGACTTTGCAGCAAAAGCTCTAGGCTGCCTCGTCCTTGCCAAGAAGAACATTTCTGACTAAGCTTCTCTCTCTCCTCAAGGGAGAGCCACCAACACTATAATGGGTCGGGAAATGCTGATTTGCTTTTGTACCAGCCAAACAGAATCAGGGAATAGAAACGAAAACAAATAAAACTCAAACATAAGCCTGCAACTTACAAACATAGCGATTCCATATGGTTCAGCATATACATATTACAGAATCAAATAAAATTTATTTTGGTGTCTCCACTAATTTTCATATTTTCTGCTATGGGTTTCTTATACAAATAAAGATAACCAAGCAATGAGAAGAAATAAAAGAAATAATCAAGCTGTGTCCGGAGAGGGGTTCTAGATGACCACTGGAAGCAGTGGTTCTCAAACTCTGGGGTGCACTTGAATTACCTGGAGGGCTCATAAAGAACAAAGAGGCTCAGGGCTGTTGAGGTACGATAGGCTGGTTCTGGGTACGCTGCCAGGTTCTAAGGTGATTCTGATTCCCACCAGAATTTGAGGAGGATTGACTTAGAGTAGGACCAAGTTTAACTCAAGGTTTCACAATCAAGAGAGATCGTTTAAGAGCAGCTGAAGTGGCTCAGGCACCATGAGCTGGAAGGATTTCTAGGTCAGCCTCAAGGACAAGTCTCCCCCTATAGACTCAGGTACCTAGGGCTGGGTGGGATCAGTGGGCTTCTTTCTTTGGCCCCCAGCCCCGGGACAGGGGCCTTCACTTACTGGTGAGGACCTTGAGGGTGAAAGGGTTCTTCTGCTGGATGGTGTGGGTGAAGTGGAAGCGGGCGTTACAACTGTAGTCGGTCTGCATGTCCTGCAGCATCACGTTGGAGAAGTATAGGTCTCCGTTATGGCCCTGAGAGACACGTTTGTCTTGGGTGATGGGCTCCATGGCTATAAGAAAGCAGAGGTACGGCAGCAGGTTAGTAGTAATAACAGTAATCATCACCACCGCAGTCCTGGCGACAGAACACTTTACAGAGGGTCAGGTGGCGACCAGGAGCTTGACATTACTTGGTCTAATCCTCTCAACTCTGAAGTATGGCTTATTCCCATTTTACAGATCAGAAAGCAGAGGATGTAATGTGTCCAGCATTGCAAAGGCAGAGAGGAGAGCAGGATTTTAGATGCAGACCTGCCTGCCCACCATGTCCATGTTCTATGACCACACTTTTCTCTTTCCTGTTCACGCCACAAAAGATCTCACCGGCTGTGGGACCAGCAGAAGGAACACAAACCTTCAGGTACTCCCCAAGGTTCAAATTCTCAAGCTAGCAGCGACAGCACTCAGAGGCCAGGGACCATGATCTGTTCATCTTATGCCCCAGCACCTGTCTTAGGACTCGGCATATAGGAGTCACTCAACAGTTTGCTGAATTAAATGAAATTGAACTTGGCTTTGCTGCATTTAACAAAAATGTAATCATCAATTATAATGTATACCTTTGTTTTTTATTCCTAAGAAGAAAGCACTACTGATTATAACTGTAAGATATATACCAATCAATGATGTACATCATCAGTTTTAAGAGATGTTAAATCTGATTTCAATTTTAGAGATGTTAAAATATGAAAATGTCTGATTAATGATATAACTGGAGTGGCTGAAAATGTTGACTATATTTTCTTTTCTTTTTTTTTTCAAGTGCTATATCTGATGTAAACCCAAAAGACCAGGTTTCCAGGCTGTTAGGTTAGTTAGAATATACCTAAAGCTGACTACTCACAGCTGTCTCCTTCCTATCCCCACAATTGTTTTTTAAGTCACCATTTCTTAAAGCACAAGGTTAATGATGCCAACTTCCCCATAATGGGCTGGTCAGCTCTTCAAACCATTCCTGATTTACTGTAGGCCTACTATGTGCCAGGCACTGTGCTAGGTGCTGGTGAAAGGTTGGGCAAGACTGTTACTGCCCTCAAATAACTTCCAGTTTAGTAGAAGAGGCAGCAGATAAATAAACAATTGCAATGCAGCGTGGCGAGCAGAACACACCAGTTAGAAGGGGATTAACTGCAAAAAAGAACCCAGTGCATTCTAGGGGGTCCTAAGCTGAGCCTTGAAGCCTGCATATCTTATACCAGGAGAAAAGACAGGGGAGCTGAGGTTTCTAAGGAGCTGGAAGAGTGTGTGATAAAGGCTAAGAGTACATAGTCCACTCAGTGGTGTAAGGGGATGAGGGGAGACAAGGGCTGGAGAGGCAGAGGGCCAGATCTGGAATGGGACTGGGTGCCAGGGAAAGGGATCTGGACCATTATTTTGAGGTGATGGAGGAGCCAGTGAAGGGCTTTAAGCAGATGAATGAAACTATCAATTAAGTATCACATTTTTAGAAAGACCAGGGAGGCCTGTTATGGATAATTCTTGTAACCCAGGGAAAAACTGATGGTGGCCGGGGCTGGGGAGATGTCAGTGAGGACAGAAAGAAGACAAGGGTCTAAGATCTACTTGGGAGGCAGAGTGAACACAACTTGATGGTGAATGTGATGTGGGAGAGATGAGAGAGGAGAAGTTGAACTGTGAATTAACAAGTGAGGCCAGCAGCCTGTGGCCAGGCAGCCTTCCCCATAAATGTGCACTGTGATGGGGGAAGAGAGAGACAGTGATTGAGCACAAAGCCATCCTCAACCTGCAAAATAACTTACAATGCTGCCTCATCAACAGGGCAGCCTCTTTTCAAAGTAGGCTGCTAAGAATTCAGGGATGGATAGAAGGATGGATGACTGGCAGGTACGTAGGTGGAGATATAGGTTGATGGATGGCTGGATAGATGGGAAAGGAGGGATGGAAGGAGGGGGAGAGGAGGCAGACAGGTAGGCGGGAAGGGAGGGAGGACAGGAAGCCAGAAGGACACACAGAGAGATAGCAGTTTTCGATTTACCTCTATTAATGCTTCTGCTTTTATTTAAATTGAAAACATGGGAAGAAACTGAGGTCCGGAGAGGATGAATGAGGCTCAGTTCAAAATTGAGCCAGAACAATCGCTGAATGATGCTACTCTGTCCCTGCTGCAGATACCCTATCTCCCCATCACTCCTTTATGAAAGGTTGCAATTCCCCATTCACCCTTCCTCCTACCAGAAGAGCGAATCAGAATAAATCCAGACCGGCCAATAATTGAAAGAGGTGGTTTGGTATCAACCACTTTCAATTGGCCAATTGGAAAAACCATTTCTCCTCTTCTCCCCTAATCCCTTCTGTCTTGCTCTTCATTTTCATTATCATGTTTCCAAGTGCTTACTGTGTGTCTGGCCCTGTTCTAAGCACTTTGGACGTATTGACTCATTTATTCTTATAATAATCCTATTAGATAAGTACTATGATTAGCTCTGTTTTTTTCCAGAAGAGGAAACTGAGGCCCAGAGATGTAAGCAATTTGCTCAAGATCACACTTGCTCAAGATCACACAGCAGCCAGGCTAGAAAATAAGCCCAAGCAGCCTCTCTCTGCAGAGCCTGTGTTCTCAGCCTGGTTGCCACATTGCACCTGCCTCTCACAAATCAAGGCCTTCTAGCTTGGGCAAGCCCCTCCCCACTTAACACACCCACCCCACCCCCTAAGGTTAAGATATAAACACAACACCAGGCCCCCAAGACTCACAGCTGCTCATCCAGAAGATGACCGGGGATGGAAGTCCAGGCGGGGGGTTGCACTGGAGCGTCAAAGGAGCGCCCTCTTGGACCACGACAGGGTCTAGGTTTTCCTTGGGCCACAGAGGAGATTCTGGAGAGAAGTGGACAAAGAGGATAAAGTGAGGGTGATGGCTGGGCCCGGGGCAAGGAGCAGGGTCAGAGGCAGGCATGCAAGGAGGAGAAACAGAAGGGGCACCTGGAGAAGGAGGGAGCAAGAGAGAGGGACGGGGCACGTGAGCCTACTCAAGGGGCCGCCCTTGAGAGGCAGGAGAAGGGAGGCATCTTCAAGGCTCCCCTCCTTTCCCGTCTCCTGTGCCCGCAGTGGCCAGTGAAATTGTTGCAGACAACAACTTCAAAAGGAAGCTTTGGGAGCTTCCTTTCCAGGGAATCATTCTGAGGTGGGGAAGATGCATAGAGAACACCAAGGCAACTGCAGGCCAAGGGCAGGGGCAGCCCTTCTGGAATGGCCTTCCACACCCCCCACTCTCCATTTACCCAGGAGCAGGGCATTTCAGCCCTGCCCCACGCTACTCACTAGACACCTGCAGGCGGATCCTATTGGACAGGGCCGTGCCAAATTTGTTGCGGGCGAAGCACTGATATTCCCCCTCATATTCCTCCGGCCGCCCGCCACTGCGGAAGTCAATCACCAGGGTCCCAGACCTCCTCCTCATGGACACCCGGGGGTCCTTGGCGATGTTGAAGAATCTGCTGTTTCGTGTCCAGTGGAAGCTGTGGAGAGTGGGGAGCAGTGGCAACCAAGACGAATGGGGTGGGCTCTGGGCTCCAGGCAGATCTCAGATCCCTAGTCCCTGGCTCAGTACCAAAATTCCCTCTCTCAGTCCCATCGTGGCACCCCATACCAACAGGTCTCAGCCTGGCTGAGCAGAAGAACCATCTGGAGAGCTCAATAAAATGCAAAGTCCCAGGTCCCACCCAAGTGACTGTCCAGGGCAGGGGCCTGACGTTAGTATTTCTACCCACCTAAGACTGGGACTCGTGGCTCTAAGTGTTAGATACTGAAGTAGCTACTCGGGGGTTATGTTAAACACGTTATTGAGGAGAGATTTTCATTTCTAGAATCTAGAATCTGTGGCTTCTTCCACCCCAGGACATTTCCAACCTTCTACTAGGAATGCAAACTTGAATTCATATTCCACCCAACCTAAATACTTCAGGGAGTTGGCTCTGCTCCTCCTGCCACCTTAATTTTACAATCCATTTTAAAGCCAAAGTGAAACGGCTTAGGTTACTTGTGCCCTGCTCAGTGAGTACAGATTATATAGCAGTGACCACACCCTGTAGCCCAAGAGTGGCAGCTTTTGGCCGGGCGCGGTGGCTCACGCCTGTAATCCCAGTACTTTGGGAGGCTGAGGTGGGTGGATCACGAGGTCAGGAGATCGAGACCATCCTGGCTAACTCGGTGAAACCCCGTCCTACTAAAAATACAAAAAATTAGCCGGGTGTGGTGGCGGGTGCCTGTAGTCCCAGCTACTTGGGAGGGCTGAGGCAGGAGAATGGCATGAACCCGGGAAGTGGAGCTTGCAGTGAGCCAAGATCGCACCACTGCACTCCAGTCTGGGGGATAGAGCGAGACTCCGTCTCAATTAGAAAAAACAAACAAACAAACAAAAAAACAGTGGCAGCTTTTAAAGAAATGGCAGCCTAGTAGAACTGAGCCACTGGTGAAGAGCACTAGAATGGCCCCCTCTGCTCCTCCTGGGAGCTGCAGCCAAGGCCTCACATCCTCAGATGCCCACAATCTAACTTGTAAAAGAAGCAGGGAAAGCAGGAGCAGCTGGAACAGCAGGGGCTGCTCAGTGCCACAGGATTATTGTCTCTGCAAAGGAACCATGGGGGAAAGACCAAACCTCAGAAGCAAGTGAGGTTACCATTACCCTGACTAACCCTTCAGGGTGACTCCCACGGCCAGCGAGAGAGTCCCTGCTGGTTCCCAGGCTCAGAGCTCTGGGTTTGAGACTGTCTTGTGTGAACCCAGGAGGCCAGAATAAAGCTGCTGCATACCTGGCTGCCTCTGCTTGGCCTCATTTCTCCTGCTGACAGACACACCCTAGATGTGGTCCTGTCACATACGGGTCTGAATCTTGCATGAGGCTCCTGAAAGGCTCAGTCTGTAGATGCTACTTTGAGGATGGGGATGGGGGCAGATAATAACGTCTGTCATGTCTCCGATGCTTATCATTTGGTAGAAATGCATGAGTTTAAATCTGGGTTCTGCCCCTTTCAAGCTGGGTAACCTTGGACCTTTGTACCCCTTTTCCCCTCCTCTTCATAAGGACATCGGTCCTTCCCCAGAGCACTGTTAGGTGGTCGAACAAAACGTGAGTAACAGAACCTAACACAGAGCCCGGACACACACACAACAGGCTTTTAATTCATGTCTGTTGACATCTTACTTGGTCTTAATGAGCACATAAACAGGTAGAGGCAAGCTCAGAATGAAAGACTCAAGTTGGCTTGGAAAAGGAACTTCCTATAAGCTAAACGTGGGGCAGATGATGGGAACACAGCGTGGAGGAAAGAATGTTATACGGAAAGTCAGAAAACTGAACATCCAGTCCTGGCTTTTGGTGTGAACTTAAGCCACTTGTTTTCTGGTCTCCAGTTTGCTTACCGGCAAAATTTCCTGGTACCTCAATTATGCCTTCCACCTAGTAGGTGCCTAATGGAAATTTTTTGGAATGGATGAGTCCAATTTTCCTGCTGCCTCATTTGCCTTAGTTATCATCAGGCCCAGAGGCAAGCGGGTGGTTTCAATGCACTCTTTTTCCCCTTCACTCACCTGGGGGCAGGGTTCCCTTTTGCTTCACACTCAATCAGGATGTTATCACGGGGGTCCACGATGTGATCCTTCGCTGACTGCTTGGTGATGGTTGGCGGCTGCGTCACTGCAACAGTGCACAGGGAGCATGGTCAGGGCTGCAGGGACCTCCCTGGGGTCCAGCTTGGGGAACAGCTGAGATGAAGAGCTTCAGAAGCCACACATGCAAGCAGGCAAGTGGGTGGGGTGTGGGGGGCGGTGAACAGGGCCCCATTCTAGAGACCCAGCTCCTTAAATGGTGCCGCAGGAAAGAAGGTGGGTGTCAAAGATTAAGCATAAGAAGAATCCCTTTAAAAAGATCCCATAGGCAGCCAGGCGTGGTGGCTCACGCTTGTAATCCTAGCACTTTGGGAGGCAGAAGCAGGCCGATCACGAGGTCAGGAGATCGAGACCATCCTGGCTAACACGGTGAAACCCCGTCTCTACTAAAAAATACAAAAAATTAGCCGGGCGTGGTGGAGGGTGCCTGTAGTCCCAGCTACTCGGGAGGCTGAGGCAGGAGAATGACAAGAACCCAGGAAGCGGAGCTTGCAGTGAGCCGAGATCGCACCACCGCACTCCAGCCTGGGCGACAGAGCGATATTCTGTTTTAAAAAAAAAAAAAAAATCCCATAGGCCAGGCATGGTGGCTCACACCTGTAATCCCAGCACTTTGAGAGGCTGAGGCGGATGGATTTTCTGAGGTCAGGAGTTCAAGACCAGCCTGGCCAACATGGTAAAACCCCATCTCTACTAAAAGTAAAAAAAAAAAAAAAAAAAAAATTAGCCGGGCATGGTGGTGAGCACCTATAACCCCAGCTACTCGGGAGGCTGAGGCAGGAGAATCACTTGAATCCAGGAGGCTGAGGCTGCAGTGAACCCAGATTGTGCTGCTGTACTCCAGCCTGGGCGATAGAGCGAGACTCCATAAAAAAAAAAAAAAAAAAATCCCATAGCATCCCGAGGAGAAACTGAAGGCCAGACTTTTAGTTTACTCATCCTTACCTTACAATGCCTAGCACAACATACAGTGCACAATAGTTTTTGATAAATGTCTGTTGAATGAATAAAGGAAGAAAAAGCAGCTAGATTTTCAGAACTTAGGGGTCATGGTGGTTCTGAGCCCTGGAGGCTCAACAAACGGCCAAACTATGGTGAGGCTAGAGCAGAGAGGGCCTTCAGTCCCCAAGAACTTCCCAGATCCTCCCCTTCTAGGTCCCAAGTGCCAGTGTGCTACCCTGGGGTCCTGTGCCAGCCACTGGAGGATGGGGAAACAGCTGTGGTGCACATGAGCTTCGATCCAATGACCCTCTTCTTACCACGTGCCCTTCTGTCTTTCCCAGCAAGAGAATGCTGCAGGCAAGCCTCCTTCCTTCCCCCGCAGTAAGATACCTCACTACAGGGCTCTGGTATGAAGAGGCCCCAGCAGAAGTCCCAGCAGGCCACTAATCCCCAGGTATCACCTCATGCCTCATTCCTCCCTCCCAACTCCCAGAGGCACAGAGAGGCACACAGGGCACTTACGCTCATTCTGAATGCTTGCTGTTAGTTCCGACGGGTTAGCATTGGAGAGGGAGAAAAGAAGAACATCGTTATGCACACAACCGCCCAGGCATCCTCACGCCCCAGCACACAGGGAGTGGGCGGGGTGTGCCTGGGGAGGGCGCTGAGCACAGGGCTCTCTCCTCCTGGCTGCAAAGCCCAGTGCAAGAACCAAGCAGGGTTGGGGAACGGACCCAGTGAGTGCCTTATGGAGAAGGTGACGCCTCCCCTGGGTGACCAAAACCACAGAGTTGGGCAGAAAGACTGGCTCTGATCAAAGGACAGTGTCACCAGGAAGTCCACATGTCCCCAAGTGACAATGCTGCTTGAAAGAGGCCCTGAAGGTATTTCCCTCCATCTGATGCCACTGAGGGAAGTGGGCTCCTCAGCCAACAGTGAACAGGAGAGGCTGAGGGCAAGACAGGTGCCAGGAAGGGAGTGGATTGGAAACACTGCTGCAGAGCAAAGCTCCAAGGCCTCATTTCTCCCACGACACCTTCTCTCCTTGGCATCTCCTCCTTTCCCATCCTATGGAAGACTCTAGAGGCAAATGCCCCTTTCATGGTACATTGCTTCTATTCATGGTACATTGCCTTATAGAAATCATGCTTCTCAATGGGAGGCTCCAGAGATGAAGCAGAGGCTACAGCTCCTTTCTGTGCTTTTCACAAAGAAGGTAAGGAGGCAGGTGGCACAAATCTCCCCCAGCTCCTACCTGAAGTGTGCATGTGCTTGTATAGGTGTGCTCCTGTGCAGGTGGATGTATGTATCTGAGGTCTGGGCTTCTCAAATTTTAACATGCATCACCTGGGGGCTGGTTAAAATGCAGGTTCTGATTCAGTTGGGCTGGGGTGGGGCCTGGGACTCTGCCTTTCTGACAAGTGCTGGGGCAATGCCATGCTGGTGGTGTGTGAACCACACTCTGCATAGGAAGGTTTTAGATGGTGTGCTTTTTGTGGGGACAAGGTCTTGGTTAAAATGTGCAGAAAAGGGAACATGTGTTGCTGTGACTTTCAAATGTTTTTTCCTGATGAATATATCAGAAAGTAACATGGCATTCTCATTTCATGCAGGTGCAGACTACTGTACTGTTGTTGCAGGCTGACTTTTTCAGAGTGAGGGCTCCTTGTGGGGAGCTGCGAGCTGCCAGCATCAGGGCAAAGCCATGGTGACTTTGAAGCCTTCCTACTTGACTTGAGTGAGATGTGGCGAGGATTCTGGGGGCTTAGAGAGGGCAGCCTGGAGAAGCCAGAGTTAAGCTCAGAACAAGAGGTGCAGGAAGAGCCACAGCAGGGAAGGGAAGAGAGATCCCAGAGGAGGGGCAGAGTGTGGCAGGACAAGGGCCCTGCCGTACATGCTATGCATGAAGGAAAATCTTGAGACTAAGACTCATGAAAAGATCCAAAATAATTATTTCGTGTGGCCCCTAGAAGACTGAAGAGACATTTGCTTCGCCATTTGCCCAGGGCTGCCTGGGCAGGAGACAAAGGAATGAAAAGTCCAGGGGGAAAGCAAAAATCTATGGCTTCTGAACACATGCTCCCCGGAGCTCGTCTCCACAGCATCTTCACCCATATGTGATATTCTTGCCAGGGCCCCAAGAAAGGTAACTCCAGTTGGCTTGGGTGGGGAGAAGGGGCCATTCTTAGGAGAGGTGGGGCTGTCACTGGGACCCGCTCCCCTTGGCCCTTAGCCCAGGCCCTTAGCTTCTTCATTCAGGACATTTTTGGGGTCTCACCCTGGTTAGCAAGCCTGACAAGGGACCTCCTTTGCCTATTCAAGACTTCAAGCCTCTCTTTTATAGAATCGAAGGCTGACTCAATGGAAAGAGCCCTAGACATTGTCCAGGGAATCTCCAGATCCAAGGAAGAAGTCTCTCGGCCAAGATCATACAGGAAGTTTGCTGCAGAGCTAGAAGGAGAACCAGCTCTCCCAGTGCCTGGTCCAGAGTTTTTTGTTTTGTTTTGTTTTGTTTTTAACAAATCCATCCTTGGCCAGAGAGGTGAGCGAGCCAGCTGGGGCCTCAGGACTCTGCTCTCCTTGACATTCTGGAGAAGGGTGAGTGAGAGGGGAGACTGTGGGTGCTGGAGACTCTCAGGGCAGCAAGAGTTGGTTGGATGCTGTCCCCAGCCCCCATACTATCAGGCCAAGGACCTCTGGAGAATCTACTTGACTATAGGGATGGCGTCTGCAGCCACCACTGTGCTACTAAGGAATTTCTTACAGGGACAGAACCAACCCAGAAGACAAGCTGCCACAGGGAGAAGACAGTGGGGACAGCTTGTACGGATGAGGGTGACCAAGCTCCCACCCAGTGTCACACCACTCGCCTTCTATGGAGCAGTGGAAAGTGAATTCCATAGCTCTTCCAGCCCAGCTCTGCAGGGAGTTAGGCAGATGCCTGCTCGGTCTGCGAGGTTTCTTTACTCGTGTGCCTCTTTTCTTTCCCTGGCTCTGATACCTATGACCTCTGGCACCCATCCCTCAGGAGATGGAGCACGTGAGTGCGTGTGATTGAGGTGTGTGAGTGGGAGTGAGTGTGCATAAGTGTGAGCACATATGGGTATGTGAGGGCACGTGTGAGTGTGCATGAGTGTGAGCATGTGAGGATATGTGAGGGTGTGAGTGTGAGTGGGTGTGAGTGTGCATGAGTGAGCAGGTGTGAGCGTGAGTGTATGTGTGAATGTGCATGTATGTGTGAGAGTGTGCATATGAGTTGAGGCCATCCTGCAGTGTTATTTGTGATGAAGGTGGGAAGGAATTGTTTCTGCCACTTCTGGGAGGAAAATGCTGTCCCCTGATGCAGGGCCAGGGACAAAAGGGCCAGCAGACCCACTTTTTGGCAAACTCACTCTGGTTGATGAGGCGACCCTTGGCTTTTTTCAAAGGTCATACTGTTCTCCTTGGGGCTGGATAGGGAGGGAAGGAGGGAGGGAGGGAGGGGATGGGTGGGAGGGGTGCGTGTGACTTCACTGGCACAGCAGTGGGAGCTGGAGGCTGGGCCTTCAATGAGGGATTGTGCAGCGGTCTGGGGCTCTGCTCCAGGAGGCCTGCGGCGCCCAGCCTCTCCAGAATAGAAGCAGTGCCCCTGCCCTCGAGACACAGATAATGTCCACTGAAGGGGCAAATGAGTAGAAAGAACACCTGGCAGGGCGAGAACGTTAAGAATGCCTGATCTTCCTTCAGCCCAGGGCTGGATGGAGGGTGGGCTCAGCTCAGCACACATGGGAGGTCTGTGGTGCTGGGCCCAGTGAGATGGAGAGACCTGCTGAGGACAGCCTCTTCCCAGGGCAGCCGGGGGCCTCTCTGAAGGGCTGGCCTCCTGTCTTGCATTCAGCTTCTTTATTCTGTTTGTTTGTTTTTGAGGAATAAACAGTCTTTATGGGCTCAGACCAGAAGCCCATGGGTCTTGAGGACCCCTGTGAACTTGCAATTTTCTTCTCCCCGTTCTTTTGGGCCTGTTTCTGCTGCTGTTTCTTTTGGTAGTGGATCTTGGCCTTTTCCCTCCTCTTTTCCTCCAGGGTGGCTATCACTGCCTGGTACTTCCAGTCAACCTTATGAGACAGGTGCCCCAGGCAAGCAAACTTTCTTGTGGGCTTCAGATGCTCAGCCTTGAGGGCAGCAGGGATCACCATCTGCTTGTTTGTGTCAGGGGCGGTGGGATCCCATCACACACCATGAGGCGGTCCAGGGCGGCTGGCCTCGCTTGGTCTTGTGGGGTAGCATGCCCCGTGGGGTCTGCCGAAAAAGAAGGCTGGCAGCCCAGGGATGGTGGGGGCCTCGGGAAGGGTTGGTGTTCATCCACTTGCAGAGGAAGGCCAGGTACTTTAACTTGTTTCTATAGAAATTGCCAGAAATGCCAATGCCCTCGCCGTACATGACCACCACCTTCCAGCCCAGCAGTACAGGAGGCCCAGGAGATGGCCTCGGCCATAGAGTGCCAGGACCTGCCCCCTCATCCCCTGTCATCTTCGGTGGCCACTGGGAAAGTGTGTTCAGTTTCTGCAGACTCTTTTTGGACACGTTGCCAGGGCCACTGGACCTGCAGCAACCGGGGAGGTGCCATGTGTGTGGGGCATGCTCCGGGCAGCCTGGGTCTCCTGCCCCGACACAGCCAGAGCATCTGGAATGGCATTGCAGAAGGACTTCCCTCTCCATCAGAGAGGTGCTGTGGTCCTATCCCGGCTCTGTCGCTTCCTTGTCTCTAACCCGCAGGCTAAGGATAACACCTATGTTGAGGGTTAGCTGCCAGAACCATGTGCGATGAGGCACATGCAGCACTTAGCTCACTTCCTGGTGCATGACACCTGCGATTCCAGTGGTTTCTTTTTTGTTTCCACCAACCATTTGCTGTGTGACTCTAAGCTAGCAAAGGCTTGAGTTTCCGCGAACACAACGTGGGGTGGGGGTCGTCCCAGGGACACTGGAATGGGGAGATGGTGGGGAGATCAGGGCACTCTCAGCTCTACCCTACAGGTGGGGCTTTGGAGAGCCTGACTGCTTGGGGTGTCTGCTGTGTCTCCGTTTCCTGTAGAGCTTTAGAATTCCAGATTCTTAAGATAGACACCAAAGCCATCTATTTATAGGCTCACCTTGCAGGGACCCCTCACCCACTGGCCCTGGGGATCAAAGCAGCAGGTGAGTGAGAGAGGAGAAGTGGCAGAAGAGAAATGAGCCTTCACCACTTCCCTGATAACCCAATTTCCTCTGCACACCCTCCCTCCGGGGACTTGGCCTTACCAGGCTCCTTATTAGACTGTCTGCCTGGGACTGTTAATGAGAAACTCTCCTCGAGCCAGCCTCGCAGACAGTTACCATGGGAACAGGTCCTTTCACAACTCTCCTCTCCTCCCTCCCTCCCTCCCTGTGCACATGCACACGTGTGTGGGCATGCATACATATGCACACATACATTCAAGTCCACATGCCTGGGGGTATTGGGAGGGCAGCAGGGGCTTTGCCCATCTTACCTCTGGGTCTGACTTACAGTTACTACTGGTGTTCTATCATCCAAAAAGTCCCCTCCTCTGGGGCAGGGGCAGCTATTATGGGTGAAGTAGAGTGCCAGGAGGGCTGAGATACCTCCAACTCTTCTCCAAACTGTGGTAACTCCAGGACCAGGGGTCTGGCTTTGGAGAGCTCAGGGACGACTTTTTAGAGTTTGTATTACTCTCCTGCCCCCCTCCCCAGACATCTGTTAACTGGAGAGAGCCCAAGCCAATGTTGGTGTCATGTGGGTCCCCTCTGTTCCTTGACACAAGGAACAGGGGTCAGAGATGGCATGCTCACATCCTAGCCTGGGGATGCTAAGACATTTTGCCAGAAGTGTCAGAGTTGTGGTAAAGGTGGCACACACCTAAAGGCAGGGCCGAGGAGCTTGGCTGCCAATACATGGGCCATTGATGAACGCAGCAACAGATATGGTTGGTGGAGACATGGCTGTTAGATTTGCATTTTAAGCCCCTTACTTTATGATTCTGATGGTCAAATAATGCCCCCTCTATGAGAAACAGAATGACAGCGATTTTACTTTTTATCTTTACTGCAGGAAAGTTGAAAACAATGAGAAGGAATCCATGCCTGGTTCTCCCATGCGGCATGATAATGGGGCTCTATTTTAATGTCTCATTTAGCCATGTCTTTTGCAAAGATAATTCTGCTCCCAGCCCTTCCCAGGCCTGTGTCCTCCTGATTACTCCAGCCAAGAGGGCCCGAAGGGTGTGGATTTGAATATATCAGACATTAGAAAGGCAAGTAAGAACTGCTCCACCACACTTGACCCTGGACTGCTTTCATGGGCAAGTCAAGACCACAGAGGACCTGGAGAGGTGAGCAGAGGGAAAAACCCAAGTGGCACTCAGAATCCCAAACTCCGCCACCTCTAGTCCCACTCAGCTGGCTCCAGGCACCCCAAGCATCAGCTCAGCCACAGCCCTGAGAAACTGGCTCTGCAACATACAGTCTCAAACTTCCAAACATGAGCCTGTGTCAATTCTTTGGAGAGAAACCCAGCTCTGAATCTCAGAATCCACTGCGTCCCCTCTCCTCAATCTCCTTGGATTATCTGAACTTTCCTCTGACCTTCCCTCCCCTCCCACCCCTCTGCCCAAAATCAGGAAAAAAAAGAGAAGAGAATGGGGCAGGACTCACGATCCATAGGAATTTCGATGGCTCCGCCAAGACTGAGGAGGCAGAGGAGGAAGGCTGCATGGACCCAGGGCGGCGGTGGCTGCCTGGCCATCCTCGGCACCTGGCCCTGCTCCCTGCTCCCCAGCACTCGGGGTCTTGTCACCTCGAGCCGCTTTAACTGGGCCTCCTGGACAGCACTCAGCTGTGGAAAGAAACATAAGAGCAAGTGAGTTTTTCATGAACTTGTGGTTTGCTCTAGCAATCCTACAGGGCTTTGGAGGACCGAAGAGCCCCCTTGGTCACAGAGTAATGTTCTAGATAGAGCAGAGTTTCTTAACCTCAACACTACTGACACGTGGGACTGAACAATTCTTGGCCTGGGGAACTGTCCTGGGTATTGTAAGATGTTTAGCAGCATCTCTGACCTCTACCCGATAGAAGCCAGTACAGCCCACCCCCTTCACCACTACCAATCAGAAATGTCTCCAGACATTGGCAATTGTTCCCTGGAGGGCAAAACTCCCAGCTGAAAACCACTGTTAGAGAAGGAAGGGCAACTCTGCAAAGAACAGTCATGAAAACAAACATTGGCCTATTGGCCTGCAGGCCCAGCAACCAGAAGATGCCATGCACCGATCTGGTAAGAAATGCACCAATCTCACAGCCTCTCTGAACCACATGTGCTGAGTGTGCCTGGGGTTGAGCATATTTGCGGTAGAGGCACAGAGATGAGATCGCACTGATGTCCTTTGATCCCAGGACGAAGGGGGCAGGGTGACATTGGCAGGACTGGGGATCATGGGTTAGATAAGTGAAGACTTGGCGCACAAAGGACTTTTTGTCATTTTTGTAGAAAAATGAATGATTTCTGCAAGTATTTTGTGCAGCTAAGGTACAGTGGTCCCTGATATTGTCCTTTTATAGATAACGGCAGTGGTGAGACAATGACCAGGAAGAAGCGGGCTTCAGGTGGTTGGTAGAGTAAACAGCATGTATGATGATTCAGTGTTCATCCTCAAGCACAAGAAATCATTCCAGGGCTTACAGGGATGGTGTTAAAAATGGTTGTCCAAGGAACCTAGAATGGATCCTTAGAGACAAACCTTTCTTCTCCTCCTCTAGAAAGAGAAGAGCAAGAATGGCCTACAGCTGAGACTCAAATAGAGTGCTTTAAGATTGCCTGAGGTTCTGAAACATACACTTTAAAAAATTGGTCCAGTTTGTTATTCTACTGTGGTGGCAAGTCAAAGAGGAAGGCAGGAGGTGGCTTCTCCAGAATTCCTCCAGTTTTCCTAGATTCATAGCTACCTATCAGATGGACACATCATTCTCCTGCTCCTATTTTATTCGGCAGCAAATTGAAGCCCACTCTCAATTGTGCACATGCACCATCTCCTATCCACCCTGACTGAGGGTGCAGAAGATAAGAACAGGACTCCAGTGCCTGCTCTCTGAGGGGGCGAGAGATCCTGGGAGACAAGGCCATCCTTCTGGAGACCTGGAGCAAAAAGCAGGTCACTGATTATTGCAATAGGACAAGGGACTTCCCTTGTGCCAGGATATGGGGCAAACTAAAGGATTCTTATTCACATTTTTGCAGTTTCTTTCCCAGAAGCTGGGCCCAGCACCAAACCTCAACTTTGTGTATATTTCTGGACTCCTCCACTTGCCTCCTTTCCCACTGCCACCACCGTGGTTTTGATCACCAACATTTCATGCCAGAGTTACTGCAACAGCTTCCTAAGTGGTCTCTCCAGGTCCACTTTTCCCCCCTGTGGTTTGTTTTTTACTTTATTATTTTTAATTGACACATAATAATTGTACGCATTTATGGGATGCAGTGTGATATGCCCCTCTGATTTACTCTCCACTCATAACCAAAGCTGTTATTTCTAAAGGCAAACAGAAATGTGCTACTCCCCTAGTGCAACTCTCAATAGCTCACTGCTGCTTGGGAGTTAAAGGTAGTGTCCTTGACATGGCTCAGAGGCCCTGCATAATGCATCCCCTCTGCTAGCTCACTGCTCATCTCTCCCTTGCATCCTGTGTTCCAGCCAAGACTGCTCTTCTACCAGCTCCCTCGGTACATCATGCTTGGTCTTGCTTACTGACTTTTGCACCATTAAGCTCTGGTCTAGAACACTCTGTGTCTGCCCTCTCTCGTTAGTATTTGCCAGGTATGACATACGTGTCCTTCATCTGTGCTCCTGCACACCCTTTACTTCCCCCATTATGGCACATTTCACTTTGTATTCATTCCAAAAGCCACTTGTCTATCTCCCCTATGAAAATGAAAGCTTTTTTATAAGGGAAGGTACCCTATCTTGTTTACTGTTTTATTCTTAGAATCGACCATAGTACCTAAAACATAGCAGATCCTCAAAACTGTGAGAGGGATCGACATATGGATGGATGAAAAAATGAACGAATGATTAAATGGATGAAATAAGAAGCCATTTGGACCATCATGTGCTTTTTAAAACCTCACGTTTCCCCAGAAAACCACCAGGCGGCGCAGGAGAGCACATGCTGTGGACCTGGGTGGCATACTGTGAAGGCTACTCATTAGTGGAACAAAAAAAATCCGCCCCTACACAGACGGTGCTCTCTGGAGAGGAAACCAACAAGCTGAAAGAGGGTTAAGAGAGTAGAAAATCTCCCAAGGAGGGACCCTCTGGCTAGAAGGCATCACAGGAGGTCTTTGGTTCACCTTCCCAACTCTCTAAGATGGTCCTTATACTGTCGCAGAAAGAATCCACTAATGCCTCTCCTTGGCTTATACATCTCCAAAGACCAGACTCAGATCAGGCAACTGAACCCTTAGTGCTGAGGGAACCTGCGATAGAGGAAGGCACAGCAGGGGCAGCAGGGATGGCTCCCATCCGGGCTCCACGACCACCATGTTTGGTTTAGGAGCTGCCAAGCAGTAGGAAGTGAAGGGAAAGAGACGGATATTTTATTTTGGGACTCTTGATAGAATTAGGAAGCCAGAAGCTATTCATTAAATCAGATACACATTGGCAAGAAAAAAAAGCCCAATTGTATGGGATATTTTAAATTCACTATTTAGCAATAGAGTGGAAAAAGAATCTCAAGATAATCACATTTAGCTGTGTAGCAATTCTCTCCCTCTTTCCTCTCTGGAACCCAGTTTTTCCAACAAAACCTTACAAGAGGAAAAGAATTTAAAGAACACTAGATTCATCCAATCCCCTTTCTTTTCAGATGAAGAAACAAAAGCCGAGAGAAGGGAAGTGACTGGTTTGAGTTTACCTAGCTGGTTAGTGGCAAAGGTAGAAAAAGAACCCAGGTTTCTTGACTCCTAGTCCAGGGATTTTCCACCCATTTTTCTCTTTGTATATACAGGAAAAGTACCAGAGTAAGGTTGCTATTTAAAAAAGAAATGTATAGTTTGGCAGTTCCTCAAAAAGTTAGACATAAAATTACCATATGACTCTGCAATTCTAAGGTATATGTGCAAAAGGATTAAAAACAGGCATCAAACAAGTACATGTACACAAAATGTTCACAGCAGCATCATGCACAACAGCCAAAGGGTGGACACAGCCCACATGTCCTCTAAGGAATGAATGGATAAACAAATTCCAGTATGTATATACCCTGGAATATGACTCAGCCATAGGAAGGAATTCAATACTGACATGCTCCAACATGGATGAATCCTGAAAACACGCTCGGTGAAAGAACCATGCACAAAAGGTCACAGGGAATGATCCCATAGATATGACATGTCTAGGTCTTATCTGTAGAATAGATACATACACTGAGACAAAACACAGATTGTCTTTGGTGACCAGAGGCAGAGGGGAAGGGAGAAGGAGGGAAACTGGTTAATGGGTATGAGGTTTCCTTTTGAGATGCAAATGTTTTGAACTGGATAGAGTTGTGGGTGCACACATTGTGAATGGACCAAATGCTACTGAATTGTGCACTTAATTTAATTAATTTATTTTTGAGACAGAATCTCACTCTGTTGCCCAGGCGGGAGTGCAGTGGCATGATCTCGGCTCACTGCAGCCTCCACCTCCTGGGTTCAAGTGATTCTCGTGCCTTAGCCTTCCAAGTAGCTGGGATTACAGGCATGTGCCACCACACCCAGCTAAATTTTGTATTTTTAGTAGAGACAGAGTTTGACCATGTTGCCCAGGCTGGTCTCAAACTCCTGACCTCAGGTGATCCACCCAGCTCGGCCTCCCAAAGTGTTGGGATTATAGGTGTGAGCCATCGCGCCCGGCTTTGAGCTGTGCACTTTAAAACGGTTTATGTTTCACCTCAACAAAAAAGAAAAGTATAATATTGGCCTCCATTATGTGCTCATAAAGATGGGACAGAGGATGAAGAGGACAGATTATTTGATGTGAGCATATAGGGCCCTCAGCTCCCCAGGCTGGGCTCACTCAGCATGGAAGGCAGGCACATGGTTTGCAACCCCTGCCATCCATTCTGAGGAAATTTCCATCCAAGTCAAAGGAAGGAATGAATCCACCATCTTTCTGAGTATGAGAGTTCTAGTACTGAGCTCAAAGAACCCAACATAGAGTGACAGCAGAGATGCCCTGCCTGAAGGTACCCCTACATCAGCAAGGCTTACAGTTCCCCTGTCCTGATGACCAGGAAGAAAGGTGAAAGGGACAGGCTTGCTAGCCTACAGCAATCAAGTCCACACTTCCCATTCAACCTTAGTCATTGCACAGTCTTGCCCTAGGGCCCAGTCATGCCACCTCTCGGGTTCCTCTCCCAGCACTTCCAACCACACCAGAGGTGACTGCTTAGGTGCAGAGAAGTGCAACATCCAGATGTGGGGGTGGTTGGTTCTAGTGGGATCATCCCAGGGAGGACCAGGAAACTCCCACATCCTAGGAGGGAAAGTAGAGGAGAGGGGGTAGGTTGAGCCTGAAGAAGAGGGGCCACAGTGATTGTATTCACATGCTGGGAGAGAGTGTAGAATTTTTCTGTTTAGTTCCACAGGGGCAAAGCTAGGACCAAATAGGAGGATGTTTCAGAAAGGCAGGTGCTTCCTTGAGTCACAGGAAGAATTGTCTGATAAATGCAGCCGTGCCACAATACCATTAGTGAAAAAACATACTCTACATATGATATGTTTGAAGGATCCTTTTATATATAATAACATAAGAGGCAGGCTGTAAGGATATAAAATACATGAGAGGAGGGCTCATTGCAGGGGGCAGGGGGAGAGTGCAGAAAAGAACAAAAATAAATACAACAAAGAAATAAATCCTATGTGGATGCATGGTATACTAAGTACTGGAGAACATGATTAATTCAGCTCATGTATATCTGAGGTCTCCCAATCCCCCTACACACACACACACACACACACACACACACACACACACACACACACACATCCATCCATACAGGAAGAAAAGAGAATAGAACTACCTGAAGGTGACATGTTCTGCCATGTTAAGTACTGTTTCATAAAAACTCCAAATGGCATTGGTTAGGTGTGTTACTGACAACATTCCCACACAGGAGGAAGGCTGGATGCTTTTCAGAGTCACCTGGACACTCTTCAAACATACAGATTCCCGGGCCCTCAATCTTCTAGGCAGGGGCCAAATCAGGTTGTAGATTGTTTTTAATGCTCTTAGAACCTGTTATCTCACACAGGGATGGTCCACACACATGGGCAACCTGCCTGAACACAAGGCCTTTAAATCTGCAAGGCTTGTGAGTGATTCAGATTCAAAATGTCCAAGATGTCACATGTGAGTTTGCTAATGATCTGCCTGGTAGAAGACCTCTGGACATGGTGGTGTCTTGTCTAGTTCGAGAGCATTGGCTGCATGGTTAGACTGCCTGGTTTGAGGCCACTTCCCACTTAAAAGTATGGGAGCCGGCGGCAGGGTGGGGGGCTTGGGCAAGCACTGAAGCTTGGAAGCTTTGTATTTATCATCTGAAAAATGGGGATAACAATAGCACCAATTCTAGAAGGCTGCTGTGAGGATTTATCACACAATTCCTATGTAAAACACTTGGTAAAGCATGGGGCACAGCGTAAATGCTTAAAAAATGTCAGCTGCTGCCCCTGAGTGGGTTTGAGCTCAAAGGGATGAGGGAAGCATTCTGTCCACCTCCACGACATGACCAATATGAGTAGTAAGTGGCTGTAATAATGACGCATCCATGGTCACAGCCTGCTTTTCTGTTTTTCCTTTTCTTCTGGGCCCTGGTTTCTTTCCCCACATTGGGGGCCCGTGGTGTTGATTCCACAAGCTGTCCCTGGCAGATGGATGAGATCCCGTGGCTCCCACGAGCTGTCGCCATCGGGAGCTCCTCACATTCCCACAGCCACGTTCTGGGCAGGCTGTCCTGGTGGTCACAACACATCTGAAGTGACAAGGAGAGAAGACTGGCAGCGTCGAGACATGGCTCAGCTGGCAGCTCTTCGTCTCCTGGAGGGAAAGCCATCTCAGACTTTTGGGCTGCATGCAGTGGGCAGGGATTCATTCACATAGCCGACTGGATGGCAGGGATTATTCTAGAGAACACATGCATGGACAAGAGACAAAGTCCCTCTACTCTCATGGAGCTTCCATCCCAGCAGGGAGGACAGTAAATATATGTTGAACCAAAAATCCAGTAGCAATAAGTGCAACGGAGAAAACACAACCGACCTGCACGTGGATGTTTAACAGCTTTGTTGATAATTTTGCCAAAACCCAGACAGAAGCAACCAGGACGTTCTCCCATCAGCGGATGGAGAAACGGAGGTACATCCAATGGAATATTACTCAGTGCCCAAAAGAAGTGAGCTACCAAGCCATGGAAAGACATGAAGGAAAGGCACACTACCAAGTGAAGGAAGCCAGTCTGAAAAGGCTGCACACTGTGTGGTTACAACCGCATGACATTCTGGAAAAGGCAAAACTATAGAGACACTAGAAAGATCTGTGGTTGCTGGGGGTGCAGGTTGAGGGATGAATAGACAGAGCACAGAGGAGGGTGTTTAGGGCAGTGAAACTTCTCTGTATGATGCCCTAATAGTAGATACTTGTCATTATATAATACATTTGTCCAAACCCATAGAACTCCAAGAGTGAACCCTAACATCAACTGTGGACTGTGGGTCATAATGATGTGTCCATGTAGGTTCATCGACTGTAACGAACACGTTAGTATGGTAAGAAATGTTGATAATGGAGGGGGCTGTGTACGTGTGAAGATGGGGTGCATGGGAACTCTCTGTACCTTGAACCTAAAACTGCTCTAGAAGTGTTTTTTTTTTTAAAGAAAGAAACCACAGTAGTGATTGATGTGATGTAATAAAGTGAAGCGAGTGGTCAAGGAAGGCCTCTCTGTGAGAAGTTGCCATCTGACCAAGACCTGAATGGTAAGAAGGCACTAACCTTGCAAAGACAGGTCAGAAAAGCATCCCAGGCAAGAAGAGCTGCTTGTGCAAAGGCCCTGTGGCAGGAATCACATTGCCCCATGCAAGAAACTGAGAGAAGCCAGCATGGCTGGAGCTTGGAGGGCGCAAGGACAAGAATGGAACAAGTCACAGTCAGAGAGAGAGTCCAGGGCATGCTCACGGAGAGCTCTGAAGGCCAAAAGAAGGAGCCTGAAGCACATTCTAAGCATGATAGGAAGCGGCTGCAGGGTTTGAAGCCAGAGTGACATGGTGAGATTTGCTTGTAAAGACCACTCTGGCTGCCACATGGAGGGCAGAATGTCAATGGGCCAGGGTGGAAGTGGGGAGGCCAGGTAGGAGGCTCCACAGCCTCTGAGTGAGGCCAGCCCTCAGCCTGCACACCAGACACCCCACACTCTTTCAACAAGACCCCCACCCTGTGCAGCCAGCCTCATGGCCATCTCTGGGGTAAAACATAAAATACCCAGAGGGGTGAGGACAGAGCTAAAGATTTCTTAAGAATCTGTTAGTGCTGGACATGGTGGCTCACGCCTGTAATCCCAGCACTTTGGGAGGCCGAGGTGGACAGATCACTTGAGGCCAGGAGTTTGAGGCCAGCCTTGCCAACATGGTGAAATCCCATCTCTACAAAAATATAAAAAATTAGCCAGGCGTGGGGGTGCACGCCTGTAATCCCAGCTACTCGGGAGGCTGAGGCAGGAGAATCACTTGAACCTGGGAGGTGGAGGTTGCAGTGAGCCAAGATTGTGCCACTGCACTCCAGCATGGGTTACAGAGCAAGACTCCATCTCAAAAAAAAAAAAAAAGAAAAAGAAAGAGAGAGAGAGGGAATCTGTTAATGCTAGGTTTTCACATTGGGTCCAGAGGAGCTGGTGGGTTTTCCGAAAATGACTCAGGGGCCTTCTTCAAGGAGGATTGGGCAGGAGGAGAACAGGTGGGACTCAGGACCCCCCTCCCACTCTCCCCAGAGCTGCCAACAGTGACTGTTTTTATACTGGGGTTTCATATAAGGTTTTATTTGAAGAAAAGACTGTTGAGTGAAGGAAGAACCACAGTAAAGGCAGATTGGGAAAGGAGAGTGACTGACATAAAGATAGTGTGGGAGGAAAGAACTGGAAACCCTGTGCAGCAGCCTAATGTTCCATATTCAAAAACCCTGTGCCCAGTGGCCATGATGCACGGGGGCAACGGCAAGACATGGGTGTGAGGAGGAACACGCCAGGCTAAGGCTGCAGTGCTGGCCTTGGAAAATCCCCCAGCCTTCCCACGCTAGCCTTTGCATTTGTGTTGAGGACCGGGGTGCCCAGTCTCATCTTCCTCTATCCCATTTCGGATCACTCCTACTTATACCCCATGCAGACTGAACAGATCAGACGCTGGCCAGCCCCTAGATGACAGTACAGTCCTGACACACAAGCTCTGCAGCACCCAGCCCAGGACAGTCAGGCTTGCTCAGTGCTGTCAGCTCCCCTATTTCTTGCTGCCACTTTCTACTCAGAACTGACCAGGAAAGCTGAATACGTTCCCAAACCAATCACATAAGATGCCCACTTCTAGTTTGCCCATCTCCAGTTTCCCAGACACATCTGGAGCCTTCCTTTCACTCATGACAAAGCTTTCCCACTCCCCTGCCTGCCTCTGAGTCTCTGTCAAATGCAGGTGATGGTGGCTGACTCCCTTGCTGTAGCAAGCTCTGAATAAATAGCTTCCGCTTGTTCTCATGTGGGTGATCTTTGTTTACTTCCACACTGTCTTTACGGCAATCACTCTTCTTTCCTAGTCTGCCTTTACTGCTCTCCTTCTTTCTCCTAATTCTTTGCCATCTTCCAGGCTCAGGTCAGGTGCTACCTCCTCTGGGAAGTCTCCCTTACTTTCCTGGCACCATCCCTTCCCACCAAGGCTGGATTAGGTCCTCGTCCTAAGTGCTCTTAGAGCATTTTGGAATATATTCACTATAATGAGTGCTAGATTTCAGTGTCAATTAATTGTCTGTTTCCCCAACTGCACCATGAATTCCTTGAGGCTAAGACAGTGTCTTGTTCAACCTGCACAACGTCCAGCACACAGAGAACTCTAGTGCATATTTACTGGCTGCATAGCCAGCACCCATACTATCCTCCTCCCGTCCACAGTGCCCATATTTTTCTTCGGAGAATTCATCTCTACCCCTTTCTCAGAGCAATCCTACACCAATTCCAGGGCTGGGCCCTGATTAGTTTAAGCCAATTACCATCTCCTAGCCTGTCACCACCACGACTGGTTTAGGAATGGGCATCTATTCCAGCAGGCGGCAATGTGATTCATGAAGACTTCTGTTGAGACCTCTGGGAAAGAGGAGTTTCCCCTCTCTTCTGAAAAAGACCCTGTGGTCATCTTCAGTAAGAGGAGAGGCTGGAGCTGTTGGGGGTGGGAAAGGGTGTCTCCATGTGAAATCTGAGGATAACCCGGAAGGCAGAGAGAAGACATAGGAAGACTCAATCCTTCATGTCCTTGTTTGAGTTACTGATTGAACATTTTCTGAAACAAGTCTTATTGTGGGTTTTTAATTACATATACATTTACATTAACAATTCTCTTTAATTTGCAAGCCAATTAGAGTTGAATTTTCTATCACTTGCAACTGGCAGTGCTGTCAGAATCAGAAGTGCCCTTAGAATGCTGGTTGATGCCTACCTATGCTGCCACTTTCTGTATATAAAAAGTGTCCTTCCTCCTGCCCACCTCTACCTGGACCAGCCCCAGCTTCTGCATGGATCTGCCCTTGACCATGAAATGCTGCTCTCCCCAGAACTTCCAAACTCTTCTCAACTGGCTCTCTGCCTCAGCAGAGAAACATCTTCAAGTTTCTCTCATCTGTTTTTTTTTTTTTTTTTGAAATGGAGTCTCACTCTGTCGCCCGGGGTGGAGTGCAATAGCGTGATCTCAGCTCATTGCAACCTCCGCCTCTTGGGTTCAAGTGATTTTCCTACCTCAGCCTCCCGAGTAGCTGGGATTACAGGCACCTGCCACCACGCCCAGCTAATTTTTGTATTTTTAGTAGAGACAAGGTTTCACCATGTTGGCCAGGCTGGCCTCGAACTCCTGACCATAGATGATCCACCCACGTTGGCCTCCCCAAGTGCTGGGATTACAGGCGTGAGTCACCATGCCCAGCCTCTCCTATCTTATAACAAAAAGATCCTTCTCTGTATCCCACAGCCTCCCTATATATGCATACTAGAATTTTTTTCTCCATCTCTTCTCTTCTGAAAGCTTTTTTTTTTTGGCTTCTTCCTTTCCCATTCACTCCTCATGCTCCTCTAACTCTCCTCTCCTGACCTCCCACTGGCTGAATCTAGTGTTCTCAGTCTTTATTTTGCCAAACCTCCTGGAGGTATTAAAAATTGTTAACCACTCCATTTATCCTAATATTCTTTCTTCCTTGGCTTCTGAGACATCACTTTGAGGCCCCATCTTGGGTCTGGCATTTATAGCCTCCATGGTGACACTGATCCCATGGCCGGATTCTCTTCTTCTGCCTAAAATTCAGTGTCTCCATTGGGGTCATGTGCCCCATCTCCAGTCCCCATCTTTGTTGGTGGTACCCACCCAAGTCATTCAAGCCAGACACCTGGGAATTGCCCTTACAACCCACCCCTTTTCATAGCCCATACCCAGGCATCAAGGCCCTCAGACTGTCTACTTCCCAGTGTTGCTTATTCTCCATCTCCCCCGCATTCTCCCCATCTCACCTTTCACATACATGTCTCATACACTACGGCAATAACCTCCTAGTTGGTCTCCTCCATCCAATCCATTCTCCATGCTGCTATTCCAGTGACTTTTCTAAACACCTGATCTGATCATGTCAGTGCTCCTCTGAAAACCCTTTCATATCATCCCATTAATCTATAAGATCAGACCCATACTTCTGAGTGCAGCACTCAAGGTTTTTGGAGATCAGGCTCCTGCAGGTCTCTCCAACTGCCCCCGCTACCCTCCCACCACCAACCCCAAATGCTTTTTAACTGCATGCTGTAGCACACCATCTGTGCCTCCATACCTTACACATGTGATCCCCTGTGCCTGGAAGGATCTTTCCTCCTTCCATGTGATCAATTCCTACTCAGTCTTCAAGACTCTGCTCAGACATCTGCCGAGTGAAGAATCCTGCACTCCTGCTGTGCCACTCAACCACAAATCTACCTCTCTGGGGCATGTGGCACACTGCGGTAAAACTATGTTTAAACTAAGGGTGGGAAACATCTGTAAACGTCCAGATAGTGACTATCTTAGGCTTTGTGAGGCACGCACTTTCTGTCACGACTACTGAACTTTACCTTCGCAGTGTGAAAGCAGCCACAGACAGTGAGTGAACAGGCGTGTCTCAGTTCCAATAAGACTGTATTGACAAAAACAGGCAGATATTGGTCTGGACCTGGCCCAGAGGCTGTAGTTTGCTAACTTCTGACTTAATCTTTCTCCCCACTTTGTGAAATTCTTTTTTTTTTTTAAATGCCTTTTGCAAACGCTGTCAATCTTAGTGAAATTCTTGAGGCTGACACCGTGTCCTGTTCATTCCTGTGTGCCGAGTGGCCAGCATAGTCCCTGGCAAGGAATATTTATGGAATGGAAGATCCAGGTAAAGGTTTCAATCCTGCCTCTTATCTTTTACAAATTACTTGTTTTCCAAGCCTTTAAAAAATCTCAAAAATGGAAATAAATATTACTGCATTACTGACTTTTTCAGATGGTTGTTATAAGAACTAAATAAAATACTGCACAGGAACATAAAGCTGTTTTTACTTTTTCTTAGTGCATTCCTTCCTGACAAACTCAAGTGACGTCACTAAAAGCAAGACCTTTATGTTTTCTCTGAATATAGGGTAAACCTGACCCAACGGAGACCTATATTCTGCCTCTCAGGGGCTGGTCTGGGGCTTAGCTGCAGGCCACACTCTGCCTTATAGTATCCCCTTATTCTGGGAGTGAAGCCCAGAGTGAGGTTGCTCAGCCCATGTCTCCTCTCCCGCTTCACTTCACTTGCCTTCTTCCAGATTCCACAGGTGGCCCTGGTCAGAGTGAGAGAGAAAAGGGGAGATCATGATAGAAGGATGGTTTAATGTTCTCCAAAGCCTGTTGAGGACTGTTTTTGTGTTAGAATAGGATCTGATGACTGACCGGTAGTAGAAGCAAGAAGAAGGATGGCATCAAGGTTTCTAGCTTGGGAAACTGGACTAGGATGACTCTAATAATTGACACCAAGAACACAGAAGGGAGAGTGAGTCTGGTAGTCACTGGGATGCAGGGAGATCACAAGCATGGAACAGAATATATTCAGTTTGAAATGTCTAAGAGCCATGAATGAAACAGTTCGTCAGGTATTCCAAGGTTGTGCACATGAGTTAGTGCCTAGGGATACACCAACAGATTACTGCTACCAAGGCCACATGCCAGCAATTAGTTCTTAGAATAAACTAGTCAAGTGACTAGAATAGTACTACAAGAACCAAGGGAGAAATACATTCACACATCACTGCCACAGGAAATTGTTGGGGAACAAAGAGATAATAAAAGCCCAACAGAGCCAATGCAAAACTCAGCCATTCTGCATTGGGATAAAAAAATGTAGCAGGGCTTATCACTACAGCTGCCTGGAAACAACTTGTTCAGGACTGAGAGAGAGGAGCTGAAATAGGAGGAAATAGAAGTATACAAAATTAAGGAGTATGCATGTGGGTACACGGGAGATCTGAAAAGAGCTCAGATTTATCCCTCATTGGGATGGAGGGTTCCATGTGGACAGGCAGCAGCTCCTTTTAGTTGGAACTAATGATCATATGTATTTGTCAAGAAATTTGTTCCTAATACAAAGTAATAATGTTTGCAGAGCAGCTCAGGTTATTAACATTATAATAACTACATTCTCATTCATATTCTTTTTTTTTTCTTCTTCTTAAAGAATAAGGAGCCAGTGTGTGTCCTGCCTGGGCCTAGCCTCTATTACATTTGTCATCCAGGACAACTCCAGGATTTGTCCAGAAAAAGTCATCCAGGAATCTGAGGGATAAAATCTGCCTTCTCAGAGCAGCCCTCAAGCCCTGGTATGACCCAGCTCCTGACCCCTGTGTGGCTTCTCCTCTCCCAGCATCTGCCCTCCTATATCCCCACACCAGCCTCCAGGCCTGTATAGGCCACGTGCTTTCTGCACCTCCTGCCATCTCTGCTCCCACTTTGCTGACGCCAGAAATGCTATTCTCTTCCTTCTCCACAGTGCAAATTCCCTTTTTGCCAAGGCCCTAAGTGGGCCACCCCTCCACAACAGGGTTGCTGCCTTCCCATTGAAAGTGGGTGGCAGTTTCTCTTGTGCTTCCTAGCATGCCCCATGCTCTGTTCCACTGGTCATTTCCTCCTGCCTCATGGGATGAGTTTATTCCCAAATCCATCTCCTGCATCAGACTCTGATGTTAAGCTCAGAGTCCATGTCTTGTCTCTCCTGAGACAGTACAATAAACACACGTGGGATGAGTGGACAGACATCCTATCAGATACTTCCTATTACTGGGAGATATTTTAATAGCTCATCAATGAATCAGTACAATAAATCCTTGGTTGCTATAACACGGGATAGATCTGTTGTACAGTATAAGCCTGAGTAATAACAACAAAAGCAATAACCTAACAATAACATCTAACCAGCATCCTGTCCCTGTAGCAGAGCCTGCCCCGGCTCTGCAGACATGCTCATCTTTCTTTCTCAAATCTCCCCCTGCTGACTCTCAGAGCTTTCTGTCTGACCTGTCAGGGCCACACTCAATGTCACCCTATTTGCTCCACTCTACAGACTCTCAGAATTGAGGGATTCAGACACCCCAGGCAGCAGCCTCAGAATCAACAACACCTCCATTCTCAGTCTCTTCCTTTCTCTTTCATCCTGAGGCTCTGGCTTGGCTGCACTGGGTTCTGAAATCTGCCTTCAGCCCAGGGATCGGCTAGGCATGACTGAGGGCCACCGTCCGCCACTTCCCCTCCTGCCCTCTGATCCCCATGGCCACCTCCCTTCCATCTCTCCCATGCCAAGGAAGGAACGATGCAACAGATGGTGACCCAGCCGTGTTCCATTCCTTCCAGCTCACAGGCATCTGAAGGCCAGAACTATGAGTCTCCTAGGAAACTCAAACTGCCCCCTATTGATGCCTAGCCCATCCCAAAGAGACAGAACACCAAGCAAGTGGAGAAAGAGGGATCTCTGGAAGAAAATAAGATTAGAAGGGGAAGAGGCAGGGAGGGACTCCCCAGCTCCCATTCCCCAGGGAGCGACTCCCCAGCTCCCATTCCCCAGGGAGCACCTGCCACAGAATTACATCTCACCATATCTCTTCTTTACCCTGGATGAAATGACCCCATGTCTCAGCAACTTCTAAGAAAGTCAGTCTGCCCACACAATCCTCCCACCTCCCCTTTTAGAAGAGGCAGTAACTATACCAAACTCTCCAGGGCAGGACTTGGCAGCAGAGGAAAGCACTCACCAGCCTGCTTCAGGACCTCGGCCTCCCCCACACTCAGGGAGAGAAACCCAGCTTCCTGGCCGGTGTGGGGTCAACCAGTCATTGTCTTCTAGAATTTTCACTTAGCCCAGGAAACCCTGTATATGGGATTTGACTCCCTGCTTCCCCCTCCTCCCTCCTCAGGGTTGGATGGGGGTGGTCTCCATCTGCTCACTGGCTGTGTTTCACGCTTGGCTCCCCTTCATTGTCAGGGGCAGAGATCTGGGAGGAGTGAGGGGCTGTGTGTTTAACCATTGATAGCACTCAGCAGGCCTAGCCTGTCTTTCCCTGCCTTGGCTAAGTTCACATGGGTCAGGGGGATGGGGGAGGGAAATGGTATCAGGTGGTCCTGATTCCCTCCTGGGGATGGGGTGGAGGGGGACACCTGGTTTTAGGATTAGGGATTTGGCTGAAAAACAGCTGTTTCCTGCTCAACACTCGGAACTAATCTATAGGTTGAAACCTAAACCTCTTGGCTATTATTAAGCTGGGGAAGAGGGAAGGGCTGGGAAAGAAGAAAGGGACTTTTCCCTCTAGGTGACCACCATGAAGATCTAATGAATACCTCGTATTCACACCAGGCTCTCTAGGGCGAAAACTCTTTATGAGGCGCCATGTTATTCATAAGCCACCAGCAGGACCAGAGCCCCACAAAAAGCCTGAACCCACCAATAAAGTGCAGCCACTTCTAGGGTGGGAGGTGCCTGCATCTCACTGCCACACCACAACTAGCTGGGTTATCAAGCCATATAGCTTGGACACAGAGACGTCTGTGTTCTTTGTTGTAACTCCATTGTGTGGGACTGCCACAAATCTTTTAACCATCCACTTGTTATGGACCTTTAAGTTGTTTTTCTTTATTTTCCCCCCTATTACAACAATGGTACAACTCACGTCATTGTATTTATATCCTTGTATATGGAGAAAATGTGGTTGCTGCTTCATGCTGTCTCTTTGACCCAAGGCCCACTAACTGGAGCTTGGCACATTGCAGCCTGGCACAGCAAGGAAGCCCAAAGTGCATAGGTGTCCCTGGTCTACAGCCCAGCTTTGTCGTTGACACCCACACCACACAGACTGGCAGTCAATGGATACACTGGGGAGGACATCGCCGACTCTACAATCCAGCCAGCTTTCTACGGGTCTTTGGGGCTGTGGGGTTTTTCCTCATTACTGCTTACTCATTCATGCTCCTAGGGGCAGGACTAGGGAACATGCATGAAATGGAAAAGATGCTCAAATGTAGTCGGTATACCCTCCTGATTAGCTGACCCAACACCCTGTGAAGGGCTGGCTTAAATAAGATTTGTGGATTATCTGTGAGTGGATGTATTCAGGCCCTACTAGTCACTGACAGCCTGACCAGTCTCCTGCCATACAAAGATTAGCAGGTAAAACAGGATGTAAAGAAAACAAGTTAAGGTGTTACCACTAGGGTGTATTGCCTGCCTCCACCTGCTGAAAAGCAAGAAGCGAACTCCCCCCTCTGGGGAGGAATTCCGATCCCACCACCACGGAGAAGAGCCCCCACCTCTCTACAATTCAAGAACCCAGCTTCTCACTTGCCTTGGCTCCCTGTCTGCTCCCCTCAGGGAGGAAGTTTTCACAGCAATTAGACACACATCCTTCTTCACAGCTGGAGGGAGAGGCTTGTGAAGTTACCCCACCCCCTCCCGGCTCCAAGTGGGTGGAGAAGGCGTGGGGTATCAAGGTGTCAGGCAGCAGCTGTCTCCAGGGGCTCTGTCATTAAAGAAGAGTGGTCAGAGGGAGGGGGATGGTGAGGTGGGGAGTGATAATCTTGTGTGACAGGTCCCTAAGGGTGGGGACCCAAGATTTGGGAAGGCTAAGGAGGAGGGACCCAGGTGGTAGAGAGTATTTTTTATAGAGTATACTTTTGTAGAGTATAAAAATACTTCAGGAGCTGAAGGTAGAAGTCCAGAAAGGGGCCTTGGAATTAGCATTAAAAGGTCTAGGGATCTTCAAAAGGTCAAACACAGACCTACAGTATGACCCAGTAATTCCATCAGATGAATAAGCAAAATGCAGTATATCTACACAGAGGAATATCATTCAGCCATAAAAAGAAATGAATTACTGATGTGGGGAACTCTCAAAACATCTTGCTAAGGAAAAGAAGCCAGACACAAAGACCGCATATTGTATGATTCCATTTATATGAAATGTCCAGAATAGGCAAATCTCTAGAAAATAGATCAGTGGTTGCCTAGGGCTGGGGGTGGAGGTGGGGAAGAGGAGTGACTAACAATGGCATAGATTCTTGCGGGGGCTGGGAGTGGCGATAAAAATGTCCTAAAATCCATTGTGATGATGGCTGCTCAAGTCTATGGGCACTAAAAATCACTGAATTGTATCATCCATCCATCTATCTATCTATCATCTATCTATTTTTGAGATGGAGTCTCCCTCTGTCATCCAGGCCAGAGTGCAGTGGCGCCATCTCGGCTCACTGCAACCTCTGCCTCCAGGGTTCAAGCGATTCTCCTGCCTCAGTCTCCCGAGTAGCTGGGAATACAGGCACCCGCTGCCGTGCACCAGCTAATTTTTATATTTTTAGTAGAGACGGGGTTTCACCATGTTGACCAGGCTGGTCTCGAACACCTGACCTCAAGTGATCCACCCGCCTCAGCCTCCCAAAGTGCTGGGATTACAGGTGTGAGCCACTGTGCCCAGCCTGAATTCTATAATTTATATAGTAAATATTATAACATGAATTGTATCTCAATAAAGCTGTCATTTAAAAATAGTAATAAGGCAAGGCACTGTGGCTCACGCCTGTAATCCCAGCACTTTAGGAGGTGGAGGTGGGTGGATTGTTCAAGTCTAGGAGTTCAAGACCAGCCTGGGCAACATGGCAAAACTTCATCTCTATAAAAAACACAAAAATTAGCCGGGCATGGTGGCGCGCAACTGTGGTCCCAGCTACTCAAGAGGCTGAGACGGGAGGATCACTTGAGCCCAGGAAGTTGAGGCTGCAATGGGCTGAGATTGTGCCACTGCACTCCAGCCTGAACAACAGTGAGACCCTCTCTCAAAAAAAAAAAAAAAAAAAAAAAAAAATATATATATATATATATATATATATACATGAAAAAAGAATTACATAAGGACTTGGAAGCCTTTGTTAGAAAAAAAACTGTGATACTTTGAAAAGGAAAATGGATAAATTTACACATACAGTTTCAAATGTTCAAAGGAATTAAATTAACTAAGTTTATTAATAAAACCAAGTAAGTGATTGCTAAAATCTATAAGATTCATGAAGAAAATTGTAAAATTTGTTGATTGAGGTAAAAAGTTTAAGGAATAATTAGGTTTGGGGATTTGTAATTTTAATACATTGAAGATTGGTTAATTAAAAAAAAAAAAGACCTAGGGCTAAGATCTTGTATGTCACCTTGAGCAAGTCACAAACTGTCTGGTCTCTATCTCCACAGTAAATTATAAAATGCTGTACAAAAGGAAGGTGGCTCTAGAATGGCCAGAAACCTCTCCCTCCCTGAGCAGCTTTCCCAAGAGATATCTGTGCGACTCCACCAGCCATCCTTATCTCCAACCCCAGCTTCCTCACCCTGGGCCCTGCCAAGCTCCCTAAGTGGGCTGTCCATTTGAAATCCAGACCATTGTCCATCTGAGGACCCACCATCTGGACACATCTGCTCATGACATCACTCAAATCAAGCTGCTTATTCTGTCCTCTATTGGGTGGATTGCAAGCCTAGTTTCAACAGACCATAGTCCTAAAGCCATTTGAAAACCATAGGCTGAGCTTGAGCAGGGAAAGAAAGAGGGGCAAGACTGTAGCAGAAGAAACTTGGGTTGGGGAAAAGAGAGATGACTTTCAGTCTCTTAGCCAGATTATGAGCTTCTTGAGGGCAAAGGAAGAGCCTTTTACTTTTTCTTTGGCCCTTCACAGAAGTGAGTATTAACTCAAAGCAGAACAGGGCTGGGCTTAATAAACTGGTGAATGACAAACCACTAGCTGGGAAGCCATGCAGACCAGGGGAAACATACCAGACAAGATGCAGAGATTTAGTCTCACAAGGAAGCATGTTTAATCCAGCTGGCACATGTGACTTGCAGCCACACACACCTGAGTTTCCCTCCCACCTAGCCATTTACCTGCTACATGGTCTTCCGCGGTTTATTCTCTCTCTCTGTTTTCTTATGTTTAAAAGTGGGATAAATGCACTTATTTATTACAAGGTTGCTGTGACAATTCCTAAATGAATTAATGAGCTAATGTACATGTATAGCACCTAATCCAAGGCCTGGCACATAGCTGGCATTCAAAAACTATTGGTCCTTTCTTCGCCTGTAATCCCAGCACTTTGGGAGGCTGAGGCAGGTGGATCATGAGGTTCAGGAGTTCAAGACCAGCCTGGCCAACACAGTGAAACCCTGTCTCTATTAAAAATACAAAAATTAGCCAGCCATGTGGCGGGCACCTGTAATCCCAGCTACACGAGAGGCTGAGGCCGGAGAATCACTTGAACCTGGGAGGTGAAGATTGCAGTGAGCCCAGATTGCACCACTGCACTCCAGCCTAGGTGACAGAGCAAAACTCCATCTCAAAACAAAACAAAACAAAGCAAACAAAATAAACGATTGGCCCTTTCTCCTCTCCCCCAAGTTACAGCTGGTATACTGATTTGCGATAAGGCTTTGGACAAGATGGGGTTTCACATCTACTTTGTAGATCTACAGTGTAGACGATGCCTGTGCAGACACCATACCCTAGCTCTATACCTAAGGAATTATTGTTTACTCTTAGAGCCAACAGATGGTTATCTGCACAGGCAGTCTACTTTAGACCAGAGAGGAAGGGAGGCTCCTATAAAATCCCAGGCCAGCCAAATCCCCTCTGGGCTCCCCTCTCTCCTGCCTTTGCCATGGTTTCTACAAGCAAAGCACTCCACCCCAGCTTCTTCCACCAATGTCCCACCAGCTCTGACATCCACCAAACAGCTGGAGTCAGCCCCAGAGAGGGAGCTGGGTCTTCTGAATTGACATCAATTCAGCTGCCAATATTGGTTTAGCTGCTGATATTTCAAGGACAGCACATCCCCGGTTGCATTTTTTAAATTCCTGTCTGATGTGATAAGCGGGAGCATAGAGAGGAAAGAACTAAGACAGCAGGAGGGAGCAGCACCTGTTCCTTCTCTCCCTCCCTGCAGCCTTCTGCATTTACATCCCATACAGACATCAGTCTGGATCCAACTGCTATCCTGGCAGGCTTCTACAGGCTGGAGGAGATGTGAAAATACAGGAGGCATGGGGGAGGGGAGGTGGGAGCAAAAAGGGGGAGGCAGCCAACAGAATGAGGATTTTCCTGAGTTATAAGATGCACCATTTGTCTAGAAGTCTGGTTGCAAAGCGCTGGCGGCTGCAAGTGCTTATACCAAAGACTCTTAGCTCCAGTGGTGTGGAGGAAACCTTGCTGTCTTATGCCCTAGAAGGGCCTCCCTTTGCTAGAGCATATGGTCCTCTTATTAGAAACTCACAGGTGACATGCTGTTTCAAACAGCCCAGCCTCTGGTGGAAAGGTGGGCTTGGCGAGGCAGCAGGAAAGGCTGAGAGGGGTCTAGACATGATTGCATCACTGCAGCAGAAAGGAGGTAAACAGCACAAGCTATTAGGGCAGTAGCTTTCACCGTTGACACTCATGTACCCCACACTTACCCTACAGGTCTCGGTGCCCACAGGAAAATGGGGCTAAGCATGGGGGCTGCCTCAGGTGCCTGCCTCAGGGGCCTGAAATCGGTTTGGGGGCAGCAGGTGGGGAAGACAGTTCCTAATGAAGCTCCATGGTCCCACCCTCAGTGATCCACAGTTGTGTGTCCTGGGCCCATGCTGTCCAAGGGGGCCTGTGTCAATGTTTCTGGAGAGAGGAGGCCCAGCTTCTCTCTGACAGGCAGAGGGACTTAGGAGTGTGAGTGCAATTAATCAAATAGATCCTTTTGGGAAATTGAAGGCCTGGGGAAGCTCAGTGGTTTCTCTGCCTTGCATCAGAGGGCCAGTGTCTGCTTCCCGTGATGGGAGGTGACAAGGAGTGGACGTACTGGGGATGGCGGGAGGGAAGGGGAGAGACGAAGCCTGAGCTTGGAGGGTGCTGCATGCTGGAGTGGGAGGAGGAGGGAGGGGCGGCTCAGGAGCAGACGCTTGGGGCAGCTCCATATGGCAGTGGCTTCCAACAAAGGGAGAAGACGCAGATAAACGGAGGGCTTCCTCCTTAGGCGGTTTCAGAGCTCACACCTGCAGCCCCGGGGAACACTTGCTCAGAAACAGCTACGCAGTGTTTCCAGTGAATCTTGGAATGAGCCACCCTAAATACACAGCCAGCCCCAAACCCAAATGGTTGCCACACAGGTGCCAGAGTTGGACCACAGGATTTGAATCCAGGCCCTTTCTTAGATGGGGGGCTTTGGGCAAGTTCCTTAACCTCTGTGGACTTTTATTCTGCCATCAGTAAAACACGGGTAATAATGGGCCCTACTTCATGGGGCCACTGTGGGAGGATGGAGCGCAGGGCACAGTGCCTGGTGCACGGGGAGTGCTGAGATGCTGATTATTATAATGATGACGATTATCATCATCTAAAGAAGCCTGGGTCAGCTTCCCTTCTCTCAGAACTTACTGTACGCTCAACAGCCGTATGTCCTGCTGGCAAGCAGTCTCTGCAGTCTTATGTCTTTTTTAAGGTTCCTCTGTGTGTCTGAAAGTCCTTTGATAGGTACTCCCCCTTCATGATTTGTGGGTGCCTCAGACTGGAGGAGGCAGTGTGATATCACAGCGAGAAAAACAGTCTACAATTCAGCGCATCCAAGCCTAGGAGGGGCTCTTTTGCTAATTAGTTTTGCGAAACCTTGGGGGAAATAACTTCTCAGAGAGCCTTAGTTTATTCACCAATCAAATGGGAATGATGACAGCAGCCTTGCTCATATCACTGAATTGTGTTGACAGTCAAATGACACAATTAATGTAAATGGAAACACTATTAAAAGGATTAAGCTCAGAACCGATATTCGATTTTGCTGGTTAGACTGGTGGTGTCCAGAAGTACGAGCCAGAACGAATCTATTCTGGTCAGGCAGGAGGTGGCAGGGCACGACTCCAGGGCAGCCATATCTGCTGTCGGACAGTGAGGCTGCTGTCATCAGAGAAGCCAGCCCCCGGGGTTCCTTAGGTGGGGATCTGGTCAGGTTACCTAGAGTGAATGTTCAGAGAGAGCTGTGGAGGGACAGGGATAGAGAGTGGGAAGGGTGCATGGGAAAGTGCCAAGAGCGGGGACTTGGTGACACAGAGCTGCATTAACTACCCGATTCTGTCCCCATCCAGTTTCATATATACTTCGTACCCGTTTAAATAAATGGGTACACCGCTTTTGCAATCATACTCCTCCACGTGTAGTAAAAGAATGGCATGCACCCCCTGCCCGCGCCACCCCTGCCAAAACACACACTGTCAGTCAGTATGTTCAAGTTCAATGTTTAGTAACAATGACAGGGTGAAAAAGCCCTAAGGTCAGAGGAATTTCCCAGGTGGTCTCTGAAACCTGACACTGTTCTGAGATAAGTGGTGGCCCTAAAGGGCCCACACAAGAAACTACCTTGATAAAAAAAAAAACTATATCTGAATTGCCATTGATATGAGAAATCATAATAACCCTCATTGATTAAATGAGCCAGGCACTCTGCAGGGCTCTTCATCTGTTTATATATTTACTCTTTAATCTTTACCACAAAATGTTGGTTATTATCCCTGTTGTACAAACTAGGAAACTGAGGCCTAGAGGGGTTCAGCGTTCCCAAGGTCACAAAGCAAGTGGATCTGGAATTCCAGCAGATGTGTCTGGATCCCAAGTCCATGTCGTCGGCACTCTCAGCTTCCACTTTTCAACCCTCTCCACGCCCCTCCCCCCAGCTCCAACTCTTTCTGGGAGGAAAAAAGACAACAAGAGAGTGAGGTGGAGTGAGAAAGACACCTTCGATGAGGTAGAGATGCCCAAACTCAAAGAATAAGGAAATTTTGCCCTGCTCAGGCCTCCAGCCCAGACCCTCTCAGCCCAGCAGCCTCCAGGAGGCCAGTCTGTCACTACTGCCCGTTACTGCTCTGTTAAAATTGCAGCCCTCAGTTGTCACATGTCCTCCCCGGCTACCAGGGCCTGAGAGTAAAACAGGAGTTGCTGGGAGTGGCAGCAAAATCTAACCCGGAATGGAACAAGGCAGACCCTGGGCACAGGGCATGGCTAAGTGCTGTGGGCCTTGGCTGCTTACTGCGCCTGGATAACTGTCCATCTGCCAGGGCCCAATGCCCCGCCCAGGGCAGGGGTTCTTGGACTGTCTCCCATATGCCAGGGCTGTCACTCAGGAGCATCCAGGTTGTAGAGGCCGAGACTAAGTAGGGTGTGGGTCACAAAGTTGTTTCCCAATTTTTCAATTAGGTGGACATTGGGACAATGCCAGCGCTAATGTTGGCTGACTGTCCCTGCCAGGGAAGGCTTAAACGCTACCCTCACCAGCCTCCTTGCAAGGAGAACTTTGGCATGCAGTTCTGTGGCAACTCAGGGCTTCTATCTCTGGGGAGAAGAAAGGAGATGCCTCTCAGAAGATTCCTGGGGCCAGGCAAACAGGCTTCCCTTATCAAAGAGAAGGGGCAGGAGGCGAGAATGTCCCCTCATTCTCACCCCTCCAATGACACATACCCCAGGCCCAAGTCCTGCTTACCTTCTCTGCCTCATTCAGCCTCTTCCTTGCAACACCAGAGGAGGCTCTGTTCCAGGCTGCGGAGGGAAGGTAAACTCCAGCGTCCCAAATTGCACATAAGTCAATCAACCTGTCTCAAGCAAGCACAAAGGAGAACCCCAGGGTTACTCTAAGAAAGGAAGAAAAAAAAAAGCCTTTGTGGTTTGCAGCTTGCTCATTCACTGGGGAAATTACATTTTTGTCCACATCCATTGGTAAAGTTTTGCATAGCATAACAGCATCTTTGTTCAAAGAAGTTCAAAGCACTCTGGAAGAAAAAAAAAAAAAAAAAAAAGGACAGATCCTGCAAGGGTGATTGTCTCTCTTATCTGTAAGATCATTTCTTAGTGCCCTGACACCACAGTCTAATTGCTGATTCCCTATTCACCACAAGAAGTTCAGCCATACCTCGAAGAATCTCTCCTCCACCAGGGGAGAATTTACCCATAATCATCTCATTAATTTTTTAGCTTCCTAGGAGAACTATGTTTTTCTTCTCTGTCTACAGATAAACAAACCAAGCTCACCATAAATAAATCCATAACACATTAAAAGGGGACCCAATTTTAGGGTCAGGAGATGCAAATTTTAAATCCTAGCTTGTTATGTCATTTAGAGTAGGACACTTCTCTATGTGTGACTCAATTTCTTAATCTGTAACATGGGGAGAAGGCATGATAGACAGGATCAGATCATTAGTTAGCAGGGTTCAAGACCAGTTCTGAACAATCATATAACCTTTCTTGGTAGCAATAACATATTCCATTTAGTCATTTGTTATAACATTAGAATGTGTCTGCAGGAGGCTGGGCATGTTGGGTCACACCTGTAATCCCAGCACTTTGGGAGGCCAAGGAGGGTGGATCACTTAAGGTCAGGAGTTTGAGATCAGCATGGCCAACATGGTGAAACCCTGTGTCTACTAAAAATACAAAAATTAGCCGGGCACACCTGTAGTCCCAGCTAGTCGGGAGGCTGAGGCAGGAGAATGGCTTGAACCCGGGAGGCAGAGGTTATAGTGAGCCAAGATTGCGCAACTGCACTCCAGCCTGGGCAACAGAGCAAGACTCCATCTGCCCCCCAAAAAAAGTGTCTGCAGGAAATGGTATAATCCACTCTTGTAGAGGGGAATGTGGCAATAGCTATCTAAATAAGTATGCATTTACTCTTTGACCCAACAATCCCAATTCCAGGAATCTATTTAAAATATATCCTATATACCTACAATCTCCAAGGTTCTTGTTAAGTGAAAAACACATGATAGAAAATAATGTTTAATATGCTACCATTTATTTAGGAAAGAGAGGAGGAATGCAAAAATATATATGCATTTGCTTGTATTTTTAAAAAAGACAATAAAATGATGAAGCATAAAATACATTTTAAAAGACCTACAGGGGCCAGGTGCGGTGGCTCACGCCTGTAATCCTAGCACTTTGGGAGGCTGAGGCAGGCAGATTGCCTGAGCTCAGGAGTTTGAGACTACCCTGGGCAACATAGTGAAACCCCATCTCCACTAAAATGCAAAAAATTAGCCAGGCGTTGTGGCTTACACCTGTAATCCCAGCTACTTGGGAGGCTGAGGCATGAAAATCACTTGAATTGGGGAGGCAGAGGTTGCAGTGAACCAAGATCATGCCATTGCACTCTAGCCTGGGTGACAGAGCAAGACTCTGTCTCAAAAACAAACAAACAAAAAACCCTACAAGGAGAGGGAGACAAGAAGTGCAGGGGACAGACAGAAGTTGGACTTTGAACAGACCTTGTTACATGGATTTGCTTTGGACTATGTAAATATTTGACATAATTACAAAACATAATTAAAAAATTTCAAAGAGGGTGGGCACAGTGGCTCATGCCTATAATCCCAGCACTTTGGGAGGCCAAGGTTGGCAGATCACTTGAGGTCAGGAGTTCGAGACCAGCCTGACCAACATGGTGAAACCCTGTCTCTACTAAAAATACAAAAATTAGCCGGGCGTCATGGTGGGCACCTGTAATCCCAGCTGCTCGGGAGGCTGAGGCATGAGAATCGCTTGAACCTGGGAGGCAGGGGTTACAGTGAGCTGAGATCATGCCACTGCACTCCAGCCTGGGTGACAGGGCAAGACCCTATCTCAAAAAAAAAAAAAAAAAAAGTTTCAAAGAATTATGTAAAAATGAAGATAAAATGAAACAAATGAACCTTTGAGCCCAGTTGGTTGGCATACTACACATAGATTAAAACAATTGTAATTTGACTGCATATCCTTATCAGGGGTGTCCAATCTTTTGGCTTCCCTGTGCCACACTGCAAGAAGAAGAATTGTCTTGGGCCACACATAGAATACACTAACACTAAAAGGAGGTAAAATAAATTGCAAAAAAATCCATGTTTTGAGAAAGTTTATGAATTTGTGTTGAGCTGCATTTAAAGCCATCCTGGACTGCATGTGGCCTGTGGGCTGGACAAGCTAGCCTTAGATAGATGTACCACAAAGATAAAAAGAACTACCTTATGCCCCACAAGAAATCCTAAACTGTTTTCAATAACCATATTATTGATGGTACTATAATATTATTATTGTGAGATTTTATATGTTCATTGGGAATAAATCAAATGAGTAATACTGTTGATCTTGCTTGGAAACAAGATTTACTGGTTGAAAGGAGACACAAAAGTAAGATTAATGAGATTGCGTAAAAATTCTGTAGTCTTGGCTGTGAACTGGGAGTATCAGTATGTCCTTCATATGTTTTAGGTTAATCACACACACCTGTGCATGCACATTTCCTAGCTCTGTTCACTGTAAGGCCTAGAAACAATGACCATCCTAGTCAGAATGAGCACCTCTAGCAATCAGATTATGAATTCTAAATACCATTCCCGAAGAAGGAATTGGGCCTCCTTGGAGAAATGACTGACTCCAAATTTGATGCAGCAAACATACAAGATAAGCCTAAACATACTGTCATACCAAAAAAGCAAACAGAGTGTCAAAGACCAGTAGAGTCGTGTCAAAGACTAGTAGAGTCATGTCAAAAGGACTCAGAGACCAAGAAGAATAAGGTTTCCCTGGTCAAGCTGAGCATCAATAAAGATAATAACTGCAACAGGGAGAAACATAACAAATGTGTTTAAATCTATGAATTCCTAATAATATTTTAAAATAATCCTAAATAAGCCATTAGTCACATCTGAAGGATGTCAGGGAAATGCCTCACTACTTTGAAAACTGTTTAACAAAAGAAAGGGGGAAGTGGGTAGGGGCATAGGTGAAACAAGATTGGCCTTATATTGATAATTATTGACAAGGATGATGGATACATAAGTTTCATTATATTATTCTCTCCTCTTCCATAAAACATTTTCAAAGTAAAAAAATATTTTAAGTGATAGAACAGGTCAAGAAACAGGAAATCACTGGAATATTAATTCTTGAAATTCTTCTGAATGATAGACATTATAGACATTTAATCCTAACAGTAATCCAGTATGACATGATGTAGATATTATTATTATTTAGGAGATGAGGCCTTGCTCTGACACTCAGGCTGGAGTAGAGTGGCACGATCACAGCTCACTGCAGCCTTGACCTCCTGGACTTAAGTGATCCTCCCACTTCAGCCTCCCAAGTAGCTGGGCCCATAGGTATGTGTCACCACGCTTGGCTAATTTTGTTTATTTTTTGTAGAGATGAGGTCTCACTATGTTGCCCAGGTTGGACTTGAACTCTTGAACTCAAGCAATTCTCCCACCTTGGCTCCCAAAGTACTGGGATTATAGGCATGTGCCACCGTGCCCAGCCTGATATAGATATTATTATCCCCATTTTACACCTGAGGAAATAGGTGTAAAGAATCCATGTGATGCTGGACACAGTGACTCACGCCTGTAATCCCAGCACCCTGGAAGGCTGAGACAGGTGGATGGCTTGAGCCCAGCGGTTCGAGACCAGCCTGGGCAACATGGCAAAACCTTGTCTCTACAAAAAATAAAAATAAAAAAACAAAAAACAAACAAACAAAAAAAACAAAAAAGAATCCATGTGAGTCAAACCCACATGTTCTTATCTCAAAGGCCCACTATTCCACACAGTTGACTCTCCAATACCCTCATTGATATATCTGGGTTAATAAATCCTTCCTCACCTAGATGAGAGTGTCAGGGGACAGCAATGAGATAACACAGAGGAAAGTACTTGGAAAACAAAATCTTCGTACAAATATTTTACTGCCATTTAAAAATGAGAGATCAGATCTACCTATAGGATTGCTGTAGAGATCAAATGAGGGCTGTGATTTGAGGATAGATGGACAGATATATAGACAGACAGATAATCCTTAAAGATGAATGAAATCACAATTACCACCAGTGCTTTTATCACCAGTCATAGGACTTTAGGGTTAGTTAAAAGTGAAACTTAGAATCCAGGAAATAGACTGTCCCTCTGACTCAGGCATAGGAAGGTTCCAGGAAGGATACCTGATACTCCAGGGAGGACTAGAGACCAACAAGGCACCTGATATCTTCCAATTTGCAAGAAGAGCAGCTCTGGGTCACAGCAAGGAGGAGACCATGGTCAGTTTGCTAGGCACTTGGTTGCTGTCCCTAGATTCCAGAAGGTCAGATGAAGCAGCCACGCTGCAGACACCTCATTCGTTCCTCTGAATGAGGTCTGGGCTGGAAGCAAGGAGAGTAGGTGTGGAAGACACTCCCCAGCAACAAAGGCAGGACGCAGCATGTCGGACTGATGACAGGGAGTGTCTGGGGTTGCTAACCAGCTCCAACACTTCTTTCTTTCAGCATTCATATCTTAATGACTGTCTGGGGATTCTTTACAGATCATTCCTTAGCAAACGTTTATTCTCAGACTGTCCTTCCCTCTGCCACAAAGTATAAGCTGGTCCCGGGATCTCTTACACTTTCTCATCTTGGAATTCCCTAATTCCATAAGGGCGTATTTCTAAAGAAGCACACAATCAAAATTCTCCTGACTCGTGGTTCATGTGCCTCTACCCCTTGAATATTTAGACTGTGCTCAGGGCAAAAAGATCATTCTGTCTCTGTCTCTCAGGATTCTTACTTAAACATTTAAAAAATTATTTTACTTACTTTTTGAATAGTTAATCCCTTCACGTGATATGAAACTCAAATGATACAAAACTATATACAGTATACTTTTGAGATGAGCCTAGAACATCGTCCTCTCAAACCTGTCGCACAGCTTCCCAAGCTCCACTCATACCCTGTCCCTGGCCAACCAGTTACTAGTTTGTTGTATACCCTCCCAGAGAGTCTATGTAAACACATATACATATACATGTATTTTTAAAAATTCTAGCATACTATACATATTTTCCCCTACCTTGCTTTTTGCCATTAACAAATATCTTAGATATCTTTCTATATTCATTCATATAAAACTGCCTTGTTATTATTATTTTTATTTTTATTTTTTTGAGACAGAGTCTTGCTCTGTTGTCCAGGCTGGAGTGCAGTGGTGCTATCTTGGCTCACTGCAAGCTCTGCCTCCTGGGTTCACACCCATTCTCCTGCCTCAGCCTCCCGAGTAGCTGGGACTACAGGCACCCACCACCACGCCCGGCTAATTTTTTTGTATTTTTAGTAGAGACGGGGTTTCACCATGTTAGCAAGGATGGTCTCGATCTCCTGACCTCGTGATCCACCTGTCTCGGCCTCCCAAAGTGCTGGGATTACAGACAAAAGAGCCACCGCGCCCAGCGTGCCTTGTTATTTTAACAGTTCCATGGTATTCCATTGTATAAACAGATCATAATTTATTTACTTAATCCTCTACTGATAGACATTTAGGTTGCTTGTAATCATTTCATATAGAAAATTGCTACAATACATATCTTTGGGTAAATGTGATTCTTATATTTGCAAGACTGTTATTCAAATAAATTATTGGATAGTAATTTATCCAAAGATAATGCAGCCAAGTTGCTCTCCATGAATGTAGTGACAATTTATACTACCACCAGCAATGTATGAGAGTTCCTGTTTCCCATTCCTTCTCCAATATGTTGTGTTATTAATCTTTTTGATCTCTGACAATGTGATACACAGAAATTGGCATCTCCTTTGTGGTTCTCTTACTATAAGTAAGATTGAGTATTTTCGTTTTACTGTATTAGTCCATTCTCACACTGCCATAAAGAACTGCCCAAGACTGGGTAATTTCTAAAGGAAAGAGGTTTAGCTGTCTCACAGTTCAGCATGGCTGGGGAGGCCTTGAAAACTTACAATCATGGTGGAAAGGAAGCAAGCAAACATGTCCTTCTTCACATGGTGGCAGGAGAGACAAGAATGAGAGCTGAGTGAAGGGAGAAGCCCCTTAAAAAACCATCAGATCTTGTGAGAACTTACCATTATGAGCATAGCATGGAGGAAACTGCCCCCATGATTCAATTACCTCCACCAGGTCCCTCCCACTACATATGGGGATTATGGGAACTACAATTCAAGATGAGATTTGGGTGGAGACACTGCCAAACCATATCAATTTCAATATTCCTATTATTTGCCCATTTCTCTACTGGGCAGTTGGTTGATTCTTATCAGTTTGAAGGAACTTCTTTTACTAGGAAACTCCTTCTCTATAAGAGGGGCTGCAAATCGACCACATCATTATTTTTTTTCCTGACTTTATTTGTGGTGTTTTTATTATGCATGAAATTTTTTTCATAGTTGATTGGATCTTTTCTATTTCACTATGTTTTGTGTCATATTTAGGCCTTCTTTTTTCAAGACTATTTTTATGTTTCCATGTTTTTCATTAACATTTCTGTGGTTTAATTTCTTTTTTCTTTTCTTTTTTTTTTTTGAGACAGGGTCTTGCTGTGTTGCCCAGGCTGGAGTGCAGTGGCATGATCATGACTCGCTGCAGCCTTGATCTGCCAGTCTCAAGTGATCCTCCCACCTCCCACCTCAACCTCCCAAGTAGCTGGGACCACAAGCACTGGGCCCACAGGTGCATACCTGGCTATTTTTTAAATTTTTTATAGAGACATGGTGTCACCATGTTACCCAGGCTGGTAATCATGCTTCAATCTTAATCCATCTAGAACTTACTTTGAAATCATGTGAAGAAGGGATCTAACTGTATATAAGATGGTGAGGATCCTAACCTCATTTATTTAAAAATTTACCTTTTATTCTATGGTTTGAAATGTCATCTTCAATCATACACACTACTAAATTCTCCTATGTGTTTAGGTCTATTTCTGGACTTTATTTTCTACTCATCTGTTTATCCCTTCATGTGCTAGTATCATACCGTATTAATTACTGTAGTTTTATAATCGAGTTTATAGTCTTTAAAAAATTTTTTCTGCTTACTCTTGCTTGTCAATTTTTTTACAGATTCCTCTAGAATCAGACTTTTTCTTTCTTAAAGAAAATCAAATGATATTTTTATTGGAGTCATATTAAAATTATAAATTAACTTAGAATTGACATTTATGATGTTGACTCTAAGAATGTGATATGAATTTTAATTTGTTCAAATTTTCTTTGGAATTCTTCAATTTCATTTTAAAATTTTGTTGTACAGATTATGAACATTTTTATGTTTATTACTATGCATTTGATTGTTCATTAAGCTATTTTAAATAATTATTGCATACTAATTTTGAATCCCACCACATTGAAAGTTATTTTTCTATTTTTAAATTTAAAAAAATATTTTTGAGATGGGGTCTTGCTCTGTCATTCAGATTGGAGTGCAGTAGCATGATCACAACTTACTGCAGCCTCAGTCTCCAGGGCTCAAGTGACCCTTCCATCTCAGCTTTCTGAGTAGCTGGGATTATAGGCACGTGCCACCACGCTTAGCTAATTTTTAAATTATTTTTTTTTTTGGAGACAGGATCTCTAGACTATGTTTCATAGGCTGGTCTCAAACTCCTGAGCTCAAGTGATCCTCCTGCCTCAGCCTCTCAAAGTGTTGGGATTACAGGCATGAGCCTTTGTGCCTAGACCACAATTTTTTAAAAATTTTAATTTTAATTTTTAGAGATGGAAGCTTGCTCTGTCATTCAGGCTGGAGTGCAGTGGTGTGAACATAGCTCACTGCTGCATCGAATTCCAGGGCTCAAAAAATCCTCCTGCCTCAGCCTCCTGAGCAGCTGGGACCACAGATGCTTGCCACCGCATCAACTAATTTATTATTATTTATAGTTTTAGAGATGGGGCGTCTTGCTATGTTGCCCAGGCTGGTCTTGAACTCTTGGCCTCAGGTAATCCACCTGCCTCAGCCCCCCTGAGTAGCTGGGATTACAGGCATGAGCCACAATGCCTGGCTTGAATGTGATTTCTAAATAATCCATAATTCAAAGAGAAAGTTTCAATTGAAATGAAAAAGTACATTGAACTGAATAAAAATGAAAATACAACATATCAAAATCCGAGGGACACAGCTAAAGCACTGCTAAGGGGAAGTTTATAAATCCACACATTAGAAAACAGGAAACACCTCAAATCAGTCATCTAAGGTCCCACCTCGAGGAACTAGTAAAAGAAGAGCCAGCCTCCCACCCCAAAACCTAAAAGCAAGCAGAAGGAAGGAAATAATAAAGAGCAGAAATCAATAAAACAGAGAACAAACACAATAGGGAAAAAGCAATGAAACAACAAGCCGTTTCTTTGAAAAAATCACTTCAATTGACAGTCCTTTAGCAAAAATGAAAAACACAAAAAAATAGGAATGACTCAATTATCAATCTCAAGAATGAATGAGGGATGCCACTGTAGCCCCTGCAGACTTAATAGCCCCTGCAGGGCTATAAGAAACTACCATGAAAACTCTACACACATAACTTTTAAAGCTTAGGTGAAATGAACCAAGTTCTCAAAAAACACAAACTGCCACATTTCCCAATATGTAACAGATAATCTGAATTGCTTTATAATTAAGAAAATGAAATTAATAATTTAAAAATATTCAAAAAAGGAAACCTTCAGGCCAGATGGTTTCTCTAGAGAATTCTACCAAATTATTAAAGAATTAACACCAATTCAATAAAATCTCTTTTATAGAAGAGGGGAAACACTTTCTAATTAATTTTATGAGGTTAGTGTTACCCTTATACCAAAACCAGACATAGATAGTGCAACATTTAAAAAGAAGATGAAACAAAAGAAAAAGAAAACTATTAACCAATAAATCTCTCACAGATATAGACACAAAAATCCTTAACAGACCAGGTGAGGTGGTGTCTGCCTGTAGTCACAGCTACTTAGGGGGCTGAGGCACGAGGATTGCTTTAGGCCAGGAGCTCAAGACCAGCCTGGGCAATATCTTGAGACCTCCATTTCTTAAATAAAAAGTTAAAATGTTAACATTCATTTAAAAAAAGTCCTTAACAAAATATAAGCAAACAGAATTCAGCAATAAATAAAAAGAATTATACGCCATGACCAAATGGGGTTCATTCCAGGGATGCAAGGCTGGTTCTATATTTTAAAACTCATCAGTATAATCTACCATACTAACAGGCTAATTAAGAAAAATTACACAATCGTGTCAATCAATGCAGAGAAAGCATCTGACAAAATTAGACACTCATTCATGATTTTTTTAAAACCCAGAAAAAGAGGAATTGAGAGAAATTTCTTCAGTGTGATTTTTTAAAAAACGTTTAGAAAATAGACAGATAACATTATACTTGATGGGGAAAGACCAAATGCTTTCTTTCTAAGATTAACAACAAGGCAAGGATATCTGCTTTCACTATACTTATTCAACACAGTGCTGAAAGTTCTAGCCAATAGAATAAGGCAAGAAAAGGAAATAAAATGCATATAGGCCACAAAGGAAGAATAAAACTGTCCCTATATGCAGATACTATGATGGTCTACACAGAAAATTCCAAGAATTGATTTAAAAAAAAATCTCTTGGAACTAATATATGAGGCCAGGCAAAGTGGCTCACACCTATAATCCCAGCACTTTGGGAGGCCGGAGGTAGGAGGATAGCTTGAGGTCAGGTGTTCAAGACCAGCCTGGATAACATAGCAAGATCTTCTCCCTACAAAAAAAATTTAAAAAGATTTTAAAGTAGCTAGAACTGCAGGTGCAACTCAGCACATCCAGATGCAAGCCTGGATGTGGTGTCTTGCACCTGAAGTTCTAGCTACTCAGGAGTCTGGGGTGGAAGGATCCCTTGAGCCCAGGAGTTCAAGGCTGCAGTGAGCTAAGATGCCAAAGAAGGTGCCACTGCATTCCTGCCTGGACAACAGAAAAAGCTCTTGCTTCTCAAATTAAAAAAAAATTAAACCTAATAAATGAATACACCAAAGTTGCAGGATACAAGACAAACATGAAAATTAATCAACTATCTCTATATGCACATAATAAACATATGGAAACAGAAATTTTAAATAAATTACAATCTATAAAAATAGGCATAGAATGAACAAAACATGCATAGGACATGTATGCTAAAACTACACAGAACTGATTAAAGAAATCAAATATCTACATAAATGGAGAGGCCTACTTTGTTCATAAACTGGAATACTCCACACAGTAAAGATGCAAATTATCTCCATATATATATACTGGTTTAATGCAATCCTTATTAAAATCCCAACAAAATTTTTAACAGCTAGACAAATTATTTTAAAATTTATATGGAAATAAAAAGGAACAAGAATAGCTGAAACAAATTTGACAAAGAAGAAAAACATAGGAGGATCAGTCTACCCAATTTAAAGACTCATTATATAACTACAGTAACCAAACCTACATGGTATTGGTGAAGGAAGAGACACATAGATCAATGGAACATAATTAAAAAAAAAACCCAAAATAGAAACACACATATACTTAACTGATTTTTGATAAAGATGCAAAAGCAAGTCAATGGAGAAAAGACAGTCTTTTCGACAAATGATGCTGAAATAATTGGATATCCTTAGGCAAAAAGAAAGAAAGAAAGAAAGAAAAAAGGAATCTTAACCTAAGTCCTTATACAAAGACAAACTCAAATTGGATGGCCAACTTAAACATAAAATGTAGAACTATAAAACTTGTACAATAAAAATAGGAGAAAATTGTTGCAATCTGGAGCTAGACAAACAATTCTTAGATCTGACACCAAAAGTATAATTCATAGAAGGAACAATTTATGGATAAACTGAACTTCACTAAAATTAAGCTTTTATCTGCGAAAGAAGATGACGAGTGGGAGAAACCACACATATGACGAAGAACTAGTTCTAGAATATGTGAAGAACTTTCAAAATTCAGCAGTAGAGGCACAAATAATCCAACTAGAACATGGGCACAAGACATAAAAAGACATTTCATCAGAGTAGAAATACAGACAACAAATACGCACATGAAAAGGCATTCAACATCATCAGCCACTGGGGGAATGCAAATTAAAACCACAATGAGAAAAAAATAGTGAGACATCACTATACACCTATTGGAATGACTAAATTTAAAAAAAATTGTGACAACACCAAAGGCTGGTGCAGATGTGGAGAAATGAGATCACTCATATGTTGCTGGTAGAAATGTAAAATGGTACAGCGTCTAGAATATGGTTTGGCAGTTTCTTAAATAACTAAACATGTAACTGTCTTATGACCCAGCAAATATACCTCTGGGCATTTATCCCAGAAAAATGAAGGCTTATGTTCACACAAAAACCTGTACATAAATGTTTATAACAGCTTTATTCATAATAGGCAAAAACTAGAAAACAATCCAGGTGTCTTTCAATGAGTGAATGGTTAAACAAACTGTGGTAGATCCACACCATGGAACACTACTCAGCAATAAGAAGGAATGGACTATTTATACTAGTGATATATGCAGTAACTTAGATGAATCTCCAGAGAATTATGCTGAATGAAAAAAGCCAGTCCCCAAAAGTTACATACTTTGTGACTTTTTATAGTGGAAATGATATATATGATGTAAATGATATATTTATATAGGAGAAATGATAACATTATGGAGAAGTGATTAATGGGTGCCAGGGGTTAAGGAAGGGGGAGGTGGTGGTAGGAAATGGGCACACACATAAAAGGGCAACATGAGGGATCCTTCTGGTGATCCTGATGGTATAATGTCAATATCCTGGTTGTGATATTGTACTATAGTTTTGCAAAATGTTACTATTGGGGGAACCTGGGCAAAGTAGTGTTATCTGCTACAACTGAATGTGAATCTATAATACCCTCAAAAAAAAAGTTTGATTAAAAAGAGTTTTTCAGTTGATTCTTTTTGTATTCTATGTAAATAATTATATAATCTGTAAATAATCATAATATATCTTCCTTTCCAATTTTTATACCTTATATTTTTCTCTTGGCAGAACCAATTTAATGTTAGTTAAAGCATAAACAAATTAGGAAAAAAAAATCTACTACCACATAAAGTAATACAAACTGGAAGAAAATATTGTAAAAATATATTCTCAGGCCAGGCATGGTAGCTCATGCCTGTAATTCCAGCACTTTGGGAGGCCAAGGTGGGCAGATTGCCTGAACCTAGGAGCTTGAGACTAGCCTAGACAACATGGTGAAACCCTGTCTCTACAAAAAATACAAAAATTAGCCAGGCATAGTGGTGCGTGCCTGTAGTCTCAGCTGCTTGGGAGGCTGAAGCAGGAGAATCACTTGAGCCCAGGTGGTTGAGGCTGCAGTGAGCCATGGTTGCACCACTGCACTCTGGCTCTAGTGACAGAACAAGACCCTGTCTCAAAAACAAACAAACAATAAAACTAAAACCCATACACACACACACACACACACACATTTATTCTCATTATGTGTTAGTATGTATTATAGATTCTAAAAACTAAAACACTTTCCCAGGTGTATTTAAAAGCTATTTCTCCTGAGAATAAAATGCCAAGGCATCATGAGCCCAAGAATGACATTTCCAAGAAAGGAGATGTGTTAACCTTCCTTGATAACTTCTTTTGCTAAGTGAATCTCATATTCAGCTAAAACAGGGAACTTATTTTAGTATAACTGGACCTGCATTCTGAAGCCACTAGCAAGAGGAGAAGGTTTTTGAAATGCAAGGGAGTTGAGCCATTCTCTCTGGAAAGTTCAAAACAGATGTAAGCACTCTCATCAATTAGACCAGTCCAAACGGGACAGTAAGCAATGCAGAGAGCCAATATCTTCGCAAGGTGCCAGAGTGATTGTTGGTGACACTGGGAAACCCAGGGTCGAACATGCATCTGAAGGTATGTATGCCTGCCTTACAGTGAGGGGGCAGGGAGGGGCTAGTCCAGACTAGGGTAGTCTAAGACAGCTGTTTGAGAGACATTACTAAGAGGATGAAAACACAAGCCCCAGATTGAAAGAAAATACTTGATAATCTATAAAGGGCTTTCATAATATATTTAAAAATTCTCAGTGGAATAGTAAGAAAACAAACAACCTAATAAAAAATGAGCAAAAGATCATTTTGCTAAACAGACACTTCATTGAAGATGATATATGTATGGCAAACAAACACAAAATGATGCTCAACACAGAAATGCAAATTAAAACCACATTGAGATACCATTATACACATGTTAGAATGGCTAAACAACAAACAAACAAACTTCTCATAATCCCACGTCCTAGTTAGGATGTACAGCCACTGGAACTCACATACATTGCTGGTGAGAATAAAAAATGGTACATCCACTTTGGAAAGCAGTTTGGCAGTTTCTTCAAAAGTTACACATACAGTTGCCATATGACCTGGGATTCCTACTTCTGGTATGTACTCCAGAGAAATGACAATCCCAGCACTTTGGGAGGCCAAGGCGGGCGGATCACAAGGTCAGGAGATGCAGACCATCCTGGCTAACATGGTGAAACCCCGTCTCTACTAAAAATACAAAAAATTAGCCGGGCAGGGTGGCGGGTGCCTGTAGTCCCAGCTACTCGGGGAGGCTGAGGCAGGAGAATGGCATGAGCCCGGGAGGCGGAGCTTGCAGTGAGCCGAGATCGCGCCACTGCACTCCAGCCTGGGCAACAGAGCGAGACTCCATCTCAAAAAAAAAAAAATGCATATATGTCCACACAAAAAACTGCATGAGAATATTTATAGCAGTTTATTTATAATTGTCAAAAGCTGGAAACAAACCATATGTCTGTCAACAGATGAGTAAATAAACCATGGTATGCAATACAATGGAATACTATACAGCAATATAAAGCAATGTTCTACTGATACACGCAGCGAGTTAGAGGCATCTCAAATACATGAAGTAAAAGAAGCCAGTCTCAATACTGTAGGATCTCATTTATACGACATTCTAGAAAATGCAAACCCTAGAGACAGAATAAAGATGAGTGGTTATCCAGAGTTGGGATTAAGGGGAGAGAATTAACCCAAAAAAGGGTACAAGAGAACTTTCTGGGATGATGGAAATGTTCTGTATCTTGCTTATGGTGGTGGTTACATAACTCTATGTGTTTGGCAAAATTCATAGGACTATACACCTAGCAAGGGTGAATTTTGTTCTGTGTAACTTATAACTCAGTAAACCTCATTTGGAAGAAAAAAGCCTTAAGATATATGAGAAGTTAAAACCTAGAAAACAATGAAGATACACCTCACGATGAGTGACTATAAAAATATTTTTAAATATTTTATAAAGAAGATTCACAGATTAATAAGAGGATAAACAATCCAACAGACATCTAGGCAGGAACCAAAGAGGAATACATATGGCTAATAAACACATTGGTGGTCTGGGAAATGCAAATGAAGACCATTATCAGAAACCAATTTACACTCATTCAATTGGAAAACATTACTAAGTCTAATGATACCAAATGTTGGCAAAGGATTTCTTATCTGTTGCTTATATATTTCTTATATATTGCAACCACTTTGCGAAAAGTTTTGTATCACCTCTAATGTTGAACATTCACAAACTGATTCAGCAAATTTACTCCTAGATATATACCCATGAGACACTCTTGCACAGGTACAAAAATGTTCCTCACAGTCCTATTCACCACAGCAGAAACCTAGGAAAAACCTAAAAGTTCAACAGAGAAAAGGATAATGAAACTGTGGTAGAGTCAAACAATGAAATATTACATAGAAGTCAAAATGTGAATTAGGATGCTATACGATAAGATAATGTAAGCAAAGAGAAAAAAGAAAACAGGATTCAAGAGAATAATTACTACAACTCAAAAACAAAAAAAGCGAAGGACTTGAATAGATACTTCTCCCAAGAAGATACACAAATGGCTAACATACATATAAAAAGACGTTCAAAGTCACTAATCTTTAGGGAAATGCAAATCAAAACCACAACGAGACACCTTCTCATATCTATTAGAATGGCTACTATGAAAAAAAAAAAACTGAAAATAACAAAAGCTGGAAAGGATGTGAAGTTGGAGCCTTGTGCACTGCTGGTGGGAATGTAAAATAGTGCAGCTTCTAAGGAAAACAGCAGGTCAGTTTCTCAAACAATTAAAAATAAGCCAGGTGTGCTAGTGCATACCTGCAGTCCCTGCTACTCAGGAGGCTGAGGCAGGAGGATGACTCGAGCCCAGGAGTTCCAGGCTATGATGCACTATGACTGCACCACTGCACTCCAGCCTGGGCAACATAGCAGGACCTCATCTCAAAAAAATAATAATTAATTAAAAATAAAATCAAAAGATAACAATTGCTTCTGGTAGTGGAGGAGGCAATGAGGATAGATTGGTGGTACTGGTGGTGGCGAGGGAATCATAAGATTAGACATTTGCTAATTATCAAGGTCCTAGCTTTTGTTGGGGGTGGTAGGTTTGTAGATACTTATTATATTATTATAAATAAGTAAGCAAACAGATGGGTGGATGGATGAATAGGAAGAAAAGGAAGGAAGGAGCAGAAATAAAAGAGAAAGAAAAAGAGTGGGACCTGCATGGACCAATGATGAGAGTGAGTCATGAACCAACAATTATGATTAACCCAGTGCTGTGCACCTGAGCTCTAAAAATAAAAGAAAAGCTGTTCCAATAAGTCAAAGGAAACCTAGATTATCTAAACTGAAAGGGATCTCAGAAATCTCTAATTGGATTCCATTGTTCAATGTCATGTGAAAAGTGGTGCAGAGATAGATAAGAAATGTGAATGAAGCTCAAAGAGGAATGATCTCTTTAAGGTCACAGAGATATCTACATTCTAATCCCTTCACAGCCATGCTTGTCAAAAAAGGCAACAACAGTGAGGGAAAGTTAAGAACAGACATCCATTTCTAGAGTAACCATCCCTTTTAATCCTTCCAACATTCCAACAAGGGAAACACTATTATGCTGACTTTACACATTAGAAATTTGAAGCCTAGGCCAGGCGTAGTGGCTCATGCCTGCATTCCTATCACTTTAGGAGACCAAGACGGGTGGATCACTTGAGTCCGGGAGTTCGAGACCAGCCTGGGCAACACGGCAAAACCCCGTTTCTACTAAAAATACAAAAATTAGACGGGCTTGGTTGCATGTGTCTGTAATCTCAGCTACCCAGGAGGCTGAGGCAGGAGGATCACCTGAGGCTGGGAGGTGGAGGCTGTAGTGAGCCAAAATTGTACCTGCACTCCAGCTTGGGAAACAGAGGGAGACCCTGTCTCAAAACAAACAAACAAACACACACACGAAAAACTCGAAGAAGAAGAAATCTGAAGCCTAGCGATGTTAAATAACTTGTCCAAGGTTTCTTAGCTAGTGAGTGGCAAAGCCAAAATCAAACCCAGGTTGGTGTTCCCAAGTCTACACTCCTTTTATGCCATGCTGAAACCTAGTTCATGGCAATATAGCAAAATTTCAACAAACACCCTACAACCCTGTGAAAGATAAAAAGATAAGCAAACGACACAGAGATTTCTTTAAAAAGTTCCCCTTGTGATTATCTCAGAAAACTGCTATAATTCTCAAAAGAAAAATTGGAATAAAAACCATACTGGCTATACTTAGTTTACATGTTCAATATGTCTTTGTTTTAAAACATGCCATGAGTCAGAGACAAATTTGTACCGGTCAACATGACCTGGCCAGAGACATGTTCTGATTTATGAAACATCTCTCTCCAAGGAAGCTGGAGCAGGTAAGTCACAGCAACTGGGCCCCCAGTCCTGCAAGTAGGACCTGGGAAGAAAAGAGCCAATGAGAGCCAAGCTCCTGCCTCAGATGGAATAGTCTTGGGAAAGATCACAAGCCGATGGACAGGAGGGGCTGAGGGGGACACCCCACAAAGGCCCAGCTATAATCAGGGATATGGGAGACACCTGGCCTCTGTAGGCAGTGCTTTGTTTCCCTACTGGACCTCAATGATTTCCTCCACAGACCAAGCTAACAAGTGAAAACAAGGATGCAAGGCAGGGAGGTCATCGTTCAAAAGAGGCATGACTGTCACTCCTGGCCCAGCCACAAACACACTGGGAGGGATCACTCAAACCAAGATGAGCACCCTTCACTTTGGAAAGAAGGGTAGAAAAATGAGAGACAAGGCAATTAGAGCCACTTGTACCCACCACCCTCCTTTTGTCTTGCTCATGCAACCAAATACATCATTTGTAAGTGCTGAGGACAGAGTATTAAAATTGGTCAAAACTTGTGGGGGTAGGGGGGACTTGGCAATCATCTAGTCAAATTAGCCCAATGTCACTGAAGCAAAGACATAATTCTGGTCCTCAGAGATGTCATCAATATGATGGGAGAATGGTATTCTCAATGCTCATATTTTGTTGGCTAAACTCAGAACTCTGGTCGAATCTAACCTTCCACCTACTCTGTGCCTGCATGTGCCGCTGGACATGGCTGCGGAAATACATTCACACATACCTCCCTGCCGTCTGGCCTCACTTTTAATTTATGCTCTTGAATCTCAAGTGGGCCCTTCGTGGCATTTGACAGTCACATGCCTCTCCCCCTCACTGGCAGTCCCAGATGGCAATTCCAACTTTCCCTTTTCCTCTTAAGCACCCAGCATCTCCTTCCCTCTTCTTTTTTCCTTTGTTTTAATTTGTATCATGGAAGTAGAAAAAGCATAACGACTCTTGCACATCAGCCAACTTCAACAATTATTGACCCAAAGGCAATCACACTTCATCCACACCCCACCTTTCCTTCTCCCCACCCCTCCACTGGATTATTTTGAAGTAAATCCATGTCATTGTCTAATTTCATCTACTGATATTTCAGCATCTATGTCTAAAAGACAATGACTCTGTTACAAAATGTAACCTTGATAACATTATTTCACCTCCAATATTAATCGTTTTAATAGGATCAAATATCCACTGATGGTGCAAATTTCCAATTGTCTCATAAATGTCTTTTTATTTTTACTGTTTGTTTGAGTCAGAATCCAAATAAGGCCAACGTATTAGTTGATATGTGTAATAGGCCTCTTTTATTCTATTATATAAGTTCTGCCTCCCTCTTTTTTTCTTTACACCCTTTTTTGTTTTGAGACAGGGACTCACTCTGACAGTGGTGCAATCACAGCTCACTGCAGTCTTGACCTCCTTGGCTCAAGCAATCCTCCCACCTCAGCCTACTGAATAGCTGTGACTACAGGTGTGTATCACCATGCCCAACTAATTTTTAAAACTTGTTGTAGAGACGGGGTCTCACTATGTTACCCAGGCTGGTCTCGAATTCCTAGGCTCAGGCAATCCTCCCGCCTCGGCCTTCTAAAGTGTTGGGATTACACACTTCTTTTTTTTTAGAGAAACTGGGGTTCTCCCTTCATTTACTCTTGGGTAAGTGCCTTGTTTATTCTTTGATTGAGAAAACAAGTCACCAAAACAGAACCTGCACAGGTGCCGCCCCCTCACGCATCCGTCTGCCTGCCTTTGCCCCTCTGTGCCACCTTCTCTCCATTACCGCGGGTGAGCTGTCTGCTCCAGGGACAGTGCTCTGGGGCAATGCTCCAGCAATCCTCCTCTACCTCCTGTCTCCTCAACTTTTCCTTTTTCACTGGCTCTTTCCTAGAAGCTTACAAACATGCTGTGATTTATCCCAACCTGAGGAGCCTCCCTTGCCCCCACTCTCCCCTCGGGCTACTGCCTTATTTCTCTTTCCTTCACAAGGAAAGGCCTCAGAAGAGTTGCCCACATTTATGGCTTATAATTTCTCTTCTCCAAACCTCTTTTAAATCCATTCCAATCAAGATTTCCCCCACCACAACTCAATCAAATTTTGTCAAGGTCATCCATGACCTCAACGTGCTGAGTCCAATGGTAAATAAATAAACTCTAAGCTCTCATCATTCCTGATTTAACACAAGCGAGCACTCCATCCTCCTTGAAACACATCCTTCACTTAGCATCTGGAATACTGCCACCTCCCGGGTTTCCTCCTTTCTCATTGCTGTTCCTCTGCTTCTCCCCAGCTTCTAAGGTTGGAGTACCCCAGGATCTCCCAGGATCTCTTCTCTTCTGCTTTGGTGATCTTATCTGGACTCACAGTATGAAATACAATCTCTATACTGGAAACTCCCAGTTTTAAATCTCCAGCCCAGACCTCTCCCCTGAGCTTCACATATCCAACTGCCTACTTGACATGTCCAGTTGTATTTCTAACAGGCATCTCGGAGCTGCTAACTAAAACACAGCTCCTCCCCGCACTTCCCTGCCCCACCACACACAGCCTTTCCCATTTTAGTTCATGACAGACCTCAAGAGTGCTCTTTGCCTCCTCTCTTTCTCTCTCACCTTACACCCAAGCCATCAGCAAATCCTAGTGCCTTCATCTTTAAAAGGAATCTGGGCCAGATGCAGTGACTGACATCTGTAATCCCAACACTTTGGGAGGCCAAGAGGAGAGGACCGCTAGAGGCCAGAGGTTCAAGACCAGCCTGGACAACATAGCAAGACCCCATTTCCACTTTGAAAAAAAAAACTAATCTGTTTTCTTCTCAATTCCTCTACTACTACTCTCCTAGTCTAAGCTACCATTCTTGCCTGCTAGCCTATATTTCTCCCTCAGGTCTTCGTTCCAGTGTCCCCCTCTCAGTGAGGAATTCCCTGGCTGCCTGACCTGAAATTGCAAACCACCTCCCCCAGCACTCCCTGTCTCCCCTGCCTGCTTAATTTATACCTCACTAGCACTTAGCACCACCTAATGTACACATATTTTACTTATTTTCCCTGTTATCTGTCTTTTCCCATAAAAATAAGTTCCTTGAGAGACAGCGATTCTATCTGTTTTGTTTACTGCTATATCCCCTGCATTTAGAATAGTGTTCAGTCTATAGAAGGTGGTCCAAAAATATTTGTTGAATAAATGAATACATTTATACATGCAGCTAGAATAAAAAGTGTTTGCTTCATTTGGCCTTTCCTGACACCTCTGAAGCTCCCAGCACTTGGAATTTGAAATGCAGCAGTTAATATTATGTATTACTGTTCCCATTCTTAGTTCTTATTTCTCTCAGTAGGCTGTGAATTCTTTGAACCTGAGATCTGGTTTTCCATTTATCCTTTATCCCCCTCAGCCCAAGCACAGTATTGACCATGAATTAACTGTTCCTACTGCTCAGGCTCTCAAACAGAGTATTTATTTTGGCTAGTCTTAATCTTATATTTTAATAAACTTTTCATTTTCATGTCTGATTCTTTTTTCAATATTATCAACAACACACCATGAGTGGAGAAAAGGGAAGGGTAGCCATCTCCACCTCAACAATAACACTGGTTATTAAATGCTTTAAGATTTTCAAAGCATTTCAACACATCCACTATAATGGATCATCCTAACCACTTAGTACAGTACATATTATCATGACACCCGCTTTACAGATGAGAAAATTGAAGCTCAAATGATTTTTAAAAATCCTTTATCTGAGGACAAATAGGATCCCCTTATTCAAGGTCATGTGGCTAGGAGTAATAGAGCCAAGAGTTGAACCTGGGTCTCAGGATTTCAGATCATGTGACCTTTCTTCTCTGCCATGCTTCCTTGGTTTAATACTGATGGGAAAATGGAGAACTTGCTCAAGGTGATATGTAAGTCATTTGTGGGACAAAAGCAAGCACCTCCTAATGAATCCAACATCCCTTTCAGAAGACCTCAAGTTCTCTTTCTTTCTTTCTTTCCCTAACATCAGCAGTCACGGCTGCCAGGGGAGCTTTTGAGAAGGAAGGGCAGGGAGACAGAAGGATTCCATTTCTGCCAAGGCCAGACAAATATACTGTATGCTAGACAGGGCTCTGGAACGTCTGCTGGAAAGCACAGCTGTTCTCTAGAGGCAGGAACCGGCAAATGTCTCACCTACTGGTACCAGTGGAGTTGGCGCTTGGACTGGGGGAAAGGAGAGAGATGCTGAGTGTTGCCCAGCTGCCGGCCTCAGCCCCAGGAGCTTCTCCTCTCTTGCCAGGGCTATGAGCAGAAACCTCAAATAAACCCTGGGCAGAGAAAACCAACTTAATGAAGAGGACGTTGCTGTTTCCACTGGCTTCTAATTTTGCAGATGCAATGAGCACTTACGGCTTTTGCAGTGGTTCAGGAAAAGGCAAGAAGAAGCAGATTGTCATGTTCCAAAGCCCTCTGATGGCTGCATGGAGCCAGCGGTGCTGTGACTTTTTTTAATAGCTTCAGTACCTTTGATACGTATGTGCTTATTTACTCTTTATCTATGCTCTCTTCCTCCCATCAGCCTGGGAGCTCCCTGGGGCAGGTCTGTTTCTCCCCTCCAGTCCGGACTTCGCAGGAGCTGTGCCTCCCCCATCACACTTGGAGCTGTCTGAAGGCAGGGGCTGTGTCTCTGCCATTAGACTGGAAGCTCCCCAAGGTTAAAGGTCATATCCTCAAATAGCTTTAGAATAGCTTTAGAACCTGAGGGCTCCTATCTCCTCATTTAACCTCCTCCAACACCTAGGACTGGGGTATGCTTTCACTGCTCCTCCAAAATGACTGGGTCGGCCAATTAGTCCTTTTAGAAATCAATGAACTACACGGGACCTTGTGAGTCTCCTGAAAGGAGATCTGTGTGAGCTGGTGCCGATGCTCAACCCTTACATGTCTGGACTGAGATGTGGAGGACACGAGGCTGCACTGGGTCTCTGCTCCCCCGTCTCCCCGCCTGCCTTTTGGCCCACTGGGAATAGACAGAAAGAAAGGATACAGGGCTCACTCAGCCCAGCAGCCCTAGAGAAAGAAGTGACCCCAGATCAGCCATAGAGTGCTCTGCCCTCACAATCCATTGCTTCATGCTTCCTCTTACACTTTAATGATAAGAAAAATAAAAAGTTCTTCCTCAGAGAGAGGTCTACTTCATTCTTTCAGATAAAAAGAGCGATCTATACAGAAGGTTTCCTTTTATACCATATTTCCTAAGAAACTCGAGGGAAAAATGTGTGCTCAAATGGAACTTACATTTTCTCCTGGGTTCTCATGGGTTTTATTATTTTATACTAAATTTGATCATCTTTTAAATTTAAGCCAGATTATTATAAGGTTCTTCAAATCCTAAATAATACAAAACTGCATTCAAAATTTTATCAGCTGTATATTTTGTCTTCTTAATGACCTTAATGCAGCGGTTCAGAAAATGGGCTTTAGGCCGGGCACAGTAGCTCAACACTTGTAATCCCAGCACTCTGGGTGACTCAGGTGGGAAGACTGCTTGAACCCAAGAGTTCAAGACCAGTCTGGGCAACACGGTGAGACGCCATCTCTACAAACAATTTTTAAAAATTAGCCAGGCGGCTTGGTGCGGTGGCTTACGCTTGTAATCCCAGCACTTTGGGAGGCTGAGGCGGGTGGATCACTTGAGATGAGGAGTTCGAGACCAGCCTGGCCAACATGGTGAAACCCTGTCTCTTTGAAAAAAATACACAAATTAGCTGGGCGTGGTGGCACGCACCTGTAATCCCAGCTACTTGGGAGGCTGAGGCAGGAGAATCACTTGAACCCAGGAGACAGAGGTTGCAGTGAGGTGAGACCATATCACTGCACTCCAGCCTGGGTGACAGAGCAAGACTCTGCCCCCCCCAAAAAAAAATTAGCTGAGCATGGTGGCACACACCTGTAGTCCCAGCTACTCGGGAGGCTGAGGTGGAAGAATCACTTGAACCCAGGAGGTTGAGGCTGCAGTGAGCCATGATTGTGCCACTGCACTCCAGCCTGGGTGACAGAGTGAGACCCTATCTAAAAAAAAAAAAAAGGAAAAAGAAAATAAGCTTTAGAATTAGAGCACTGGATATAAATTCCAGCTCTTATTAGTTTACCAGTGAGTATTAGCTGTGTGACCTTGGGCAAATTTCTCAGCCCATCCTTGTCTATAAATTGGGAACAAGATTGCTCTCCAATCCTTTCTCCGTATCACTGGGTTTAAACTCTAGCCTGGTTTACAAGGCCTTGCTCCGGGGTTTCCTCCTCTGCTCTGCTATCACTATCACACAGGACCTCATAGTCCCAGCCTGCCCACAGGCACTTCTATTGCCTGGAACTCACCCCACCCTCCATCTGTCATTGTCTTGTCTAGCTAGTCTCTACTCATTTGTCACATCTCAGCTTAAAAGTCACTTCCTCAGAAAGGCCTTCCTTGATATCCTAGCCTAGACCAAGCTACATCCCAGGCTACTCACCAGTGCTTCCCAAACTTCAATGTACACATGAATGAAACACCCAGTGACCTTGTTAAAATGCACAGGTTCTGAATCAGCATGTCTGGGTCGGGGGGAAGGGGGGGAACCTACAGTCAGTATTTCTAACAAGCTCCAGGTAGTCTGATGCTGCTAGAAGGAGCACCTTTGAGAATGGAAAGGCCCCTTTGCATACCTACCATTACTCTTGTAATTCCTGCCAGACTTGAGCCCCGGGCTGCTTCTTGCCCTATCCCAGCCCCTAGCGCAGTGCCTAGATGAAAAGCATTCAAGAAATGTCTGATGATTAAACTGACCAATATCTATAATGTCTCTAGCTTTGTTTCTGATCAGAGTACAAGGAATTCAATAAATGGCATCGGCTGCCATTAATAATAATAATTTTTTTATATGCCGATTATAGTTTCTTGGGTCAAAAACCATATATTTACTTCTTTGCTGCCACAAATAGTTCCCACAATGGCCTAGACACAAAACCAAGACCTGGAAAGTGTTTGATGAATGGATGACTAAACGAACAAATGAATGAGAGACCCTGGCTTGTGTCCCTTCCTGAGTGTACAACACACATGGAATGGCACAATTAATACATCACCAGCCTTTCCTATGAACCTTCTTCCTTCTACCTTCTTCCTTCTACCAATTCCTACTTGTGGGTAGAAACACAGAGTTTAAACACAAATAACAGAGACCAAAGAGTTACTGGGCAGTCCCCAGAGCAAACAAACAAGTGACAGCCCAGGAAGGAGGGTTATTGTTTTAAAAATTATTTTCTTAGTCCTCAAAGAACTGGAACAAAGCAGGATTGTGCTGGCTGCCTCCCCTGCAAGAATTCACATTCTAGACCCGTCTAAATGCCAGTCTAAATGCTACTCAGAATACAATTACTAAACCCAACAAGCAGCAGCCACAGGCGGGGGCTGCAATGTTCCCCCTCCCACTGATTTTGCGGCAGCTTCAGGCGATGCACCTCAGTTCTCTGCATTCAGCTTTTCTGATTACCGCACCCCACTTCCTCTCCTCCAGATTGTTCCTTTTGGCCTTCTCCATGCCATCTCTTCCAGGCCAGAGAGTGGGCAAAGCTGTTCGCAGCTCAGAAGCTCCTAAACAAAATAATCTCAAGGAATCCAATAGATTGGACACTGATCCCCTTTGCAGAACAAATTCCCTTCATTCTCAACCTCTTACAGGTTGGGGAGGAAAGTAGAAACCTGAAGAAGGCACCCAAGACTGAGGATCCTATATCTCTAAGAAGGTGATTATGATGTTAGAGGAGTCACTTACATAAAGGGGGTTGGGAACATAGATGCTCAAATTCAAATGTAGGGTCTTAAGTATTTAAAAAATGAGGATATTTGTGAGTACTGGTTTGGAAATACAGCACTGAAAAGTAACAATGTGGTATTCAAATAATGCCTCAAGGTTACAATATCAGTGATATTACCAGGAAGTAAACATCTAAAAGTGAAATGAATAGTTCAGATGTTCCAGTTTATAGGCAATGCATTTCTGGAGATCACATCTTAAAGCCCATCTTTGTAAGCTGAAATCCTGACTGCCCACTGTTGTGGTCAATCCAGCCACATACATGGTCATCAGCAAAAATCAGGGGGTGAATGAGTAAAAGCTGTGAGAATGGATGCACATCCTCTATTAGGCAGTAGTAAAAAAGCAGGGTTGAATGACACAAAGGGGCAGACATGTTCAGAGCCAATCCCTGATGTACTACAGCAAAACTGAAGCAGGAGTTCAGAGAAGGAAGAAATTAAAAGAAGCTGGTGGTAGTGGGAAGGGGCTGGCAGGAAATGGGACGGGGCTGTTGGGTAAAGTGTAGACAGTCTGGGTCTTGAAAGCTTGAGTAGTGGCAGAAATTAGGTAAGTCAGGAGGGACAGGCAGGGGTCATATGATATTGGGTTGTGGTGTGAGCAATAATAACTCAAGGCTGTTCTTATGGGCAGGAAGGATACCAGTTTGGATGGAGAGGAAAGTTTGTGTAAAAGAGTAGTAGGAGAGGAACTGGAAAAAACAGAACATTTGGAATGTTAGACTAGAGGTTTTCAGTTTTTTTAAACTATGCAAGCAACACAGAAGACATTCCAGCAGTAAAAAGATTCAAAGAATAAAGATTAAGTGAATAAACCCCTCAATGCTCCCTTCTCTCATTCAAGTCTCTTTTGGAGGCAACACTGTTAGTAATTAGGTAGATAACCTTCTGCCAGGCTAAAGACCTCATGTAACAGGCAATAGGGAATCACTAGAACTTCTGGAGCCAGGGATGGTGTCCAAATCGGGAATAGTCAGCAGAGGTGAGCAGATGACTCCTGAGAATGGCATAATGAAAGGCATGACTCAGAAGACAGTGGATGATGCAGGAAGAAAAACAGTAAGAAAACAAGCTTGAAGGTGACACTGAGGTTGACTGATGGAAGGTGAGACTGAGGGAGACTGATTAAAAATCAAAAGGGGAATAGGTGGTAAAATGTTTTAAAGGGAGGAGCTGAAGGGGAGGCCAGGAGGGCAGAGGACTGGTTTAGCATCCCAACTAGAAAGAATTCCAAGGAATAACAGAGGGCCAACAAGAGGTGGTAGGCAGAAGGATCTACTCAGCATGCTAATATCTAGGCTCTTTGTAATTAATATTTGCCTCAATGGTAAAACAACTGTTCTTGATACACAGTAAGCACTCAATAAATGTTGAATTGAATGTTTTTGAAACTAAATTACAAGGAACCCCATCCCCTAAAAATGAGTATGGAAGACAAAATGCATTTCCTCCTACCCAACAGCCATTCCCATCTTCTTCCCCAGCTCCAAGGGATAAGACATGATTTGGCTAAGCCAAGCATGATAATAACATTCCCCTTTGCCAGTAGTTGGTTTAAGGATGGGCATATGGCCAAGTTGGCCAATGAGGCATGAGGAAGTCAGCTGGGGAAACTTTTGACAAATATTTTTTTAATCTCTGCCAAAGATACAGCAGAGGCCTGATATCTTATTCCTACCAAGAAGTTGACTATTTTAGGACATGATGCTTATAACTATGAGGTGATACATCCAGGTACAAAGAGTTGATAAGCTGAAGATTCCAAAGTGGCCAGGCAAAAAAAGCCTGGGTCCTTTATAACTGAAGTCCTGCCCCAAATCTGAAAGCACCTACATCCAGACTACTTGTTATGAGAGGTCATTAATGTCCTTTTCCTTCAGCCTCTGCTATCTGGGCGTTGTTAGCCATCTAAAGGCAGGCAAATGGGAATTGGTGACATAATTCACACCAGCTTTTACTAAGTTCCTAAAATATTTAGTTGGGCAACAAAGCTTTACTGTATAATGGACTTACTGAATAAGAGAGGCAAAGGGGGAGAAGCTTGACAGAGTGGGGGAAAGCCTAAAACTGCCAGAGCAGCCCAGGAGGCAGCAGAGCTTGAGTTAGCGCAATACAGTGCAGCGCAATACAATGCAACTTCATCTAATTCGACAAACATTAATTGTGCGTCTTCTTTGTATAATGCCCTTTGGGGAACAAAAAGATGAAGAACACACGGCTCACCATGGAATCTTGCTTCCTCTCTTTCTTTAGCAATTTTAGATCTGGTACTAGGCCCTGCTGCTAGATCACTTCTTGGTATTCTGCAGACGTTTGTTTCCTTTCTCTGTACTTCAAACATGGGCATTTCCCAGGTGCCACTCTCAGAGATGCTCTTAGTCTCCACAATCTCCCTGGGAAATCTTATCTTCACCAATGGTTGCAATCACCTCCTGCTCAATAATGACTCCCATATTGATTTCTCATGTCCAAGCATCTCTCCCACCATTAAATCTATATTTTCAGCTGTTCAGTAACTATCTCCACTTGGATCTCCACTGGGACCTTAAAAACAACATATTTAAGACCAGACCCATGATCATCCTACCAAATCTTCTCTTCCTCCTTACAGTCACATTATCAGTGAATAACACCATCTAGCATGTTCACCAGCTAGACTTGAAAAGCAGCTTCTTCTCCCTCTCCAAGTCTCCCACACCCAACTCCTATATTTTGGCTCCAGAGTATCTATTTACTCTATCCCTTACATTCTTGCTTCCTACAGATTCTTTAGTTCAAGTCTCATGGGATTACTATGAAACCTAGTCATTGTTTTTTTGCTTCCTAACAACATTCATCTTGAGTTTCTGCAAGACACATGGTACAGTTTTGCTTTGCTGTAGCCATGGATGATACAGACTTCCTTAGAACCTTAGAATATCTGGGTCAAATGCCAGGTGGGCGTGCTTTAGCACAACCCAGTAACTGTCCAATAGAGATATGATAGTGTAAGCCACAAATGGGATTTTTCCGAATTCTGTAATAGTCATATTAAAGAAGTAAAAAGAAACAGGTGAAATCAATTCAATTTTAATAATGTATTTTATTTAACCCAAGATTCAAAATATTATCAGCTTCTAATCAATACATAAGAACTATCGAGAACTATTAACGAGATAGTTTACATTAAACATGGAAAGTTTATACTTACAGCTCATCTCAATTCAGGTCAGCCACATTTCAAGTGCTCAATAGTCACATGGGCTAGTGGCTACCATTTTGGACAGCACAGCCCTAGACCAACCAGCTGACAGCAGTGCATGTCAGCCATGTGAGGCCATCTGAGATCATCCAGCTGTACTGGGGCCACCAGATGACTGTCGCTACATGAGTGACACCTGACATGGCCATCAGAAGAATCTCCCAACAGAGCCCAGCTTAACTTGTTGACTCATAGATTGTGAATACATAAAATGGTTGTTTTAAGCCACTAAGTTTTGGGGTGGCTTGTTATGCAACAAGACAGTGGATACTAGAGCAGACAGTGTTGCTACATTTGCTAAGGAACTGAAAGTCGTTAAGAGTTCAGGAAAGGAAGGGGTTAACTATTCAAGGTGGATAAAGAAGGGTTAAGCTAACCTAGCAAAAACAGTCCTCAAATGTGTAGTCAGCATCAGAGAACTCACTTTCCCTTAATATATTTCCTTTTTACCAACTCTGAGCCACCTTCCTGTGATTAAAATTGCTTGCTATGGGGCTTACTCATTTACTTAAAAAAATGCATGCCTACAGCATACAAGGCACATTCCTGATGCTCAGTAATAACAGAGGAGCCCATGGTATCTTCTTCCCTAGGCTAGGTACAGGGCTCCATGGAGGCTAGGGCTGGAGAAGATTATGGTACTAGGTTTCCTCGTAGACTGGGTTAGTTTGGCCGTAAGTTTTGGCTGCAGCAGGTAAGTGGCAGCCATGCTTGTTGCCTGCCTGGGCAACGTGCCTCTTCATCTCTGTGTCCTTCCTCTGGACTTGCCAGGCATTTCATCAAGCCTGCAAGGAGTCCCCCATAGGAAAACAATAATGTTTCCTGGACCAACCTACTCCAGCCCCACTCTGTGCCCCACACTCCTGGCAGTACTGAAAGAAAATCTATCCTGATGCCCATCCACAGTGCTATAGAGGTGTGTGGTCCAGTGCCATTTCAGATGCTCTCAGGCACATGTTTACAGGGCTCCAAATACCGCTGTAGTGACTATCTCTGCAAGAGCTACCCACTTCATACAGGCACCACCCCACAGTGCCACGACGTATGCCTAGCTTCCTGCACCTCTTGCTTCTAGCCCTAGGGCCTCTTATTGACAATGAGGGGTGAGATAAAGTAGGACCTATTCAGAGATCCCAGGCATGTGCAACCCAGAAATTCAGGGGAATTAATGACCCATGGTTTGAAACTTTGACCAGTGGGAAAGGGTGGCCCTTCTCCTGATGCACTGTCCCTAGCAACAGTCCATCTCTACACTTCCAATAGCCTGAGCCACTGGTTGGGTTTGAGACCAGGAAGTGGGGGCATCCTCATATTGGCTCATCCTCTCCTCGCCCTTCTTGCCTGTTCCTTCACTTCTGTTCTCTGGGATTGCACTCCCTAATAAAGTTGTAACACATAAGCCTTGCCCGAGGTTCTGCTTTCTAGGGATTCCATGCCAAGATGCCAAGTGACCTAGGACCCAATCAGGGAAGAGACCTTTACATTCTACTCTCAAGTATGACTTTAGGCACCTTATGTCTAGCTGCTTCAATGGAGACCCAAATTTCTGGCCCTGAATTGAAGTAATACCTTCTTGGCTCATCCCACTATCCTTGGGAGAAGGCCTGGCCCACTACCAGGGTGAGACCATTGGGTGAGCATCAGGGGATGCATGCCACTATCACTCCCTCTACCACCCACTTCTTAGAAAAGTGCCTCCCTGGCCAGGTGCGGTGGCTCACGCCTGTAATCCCAACACTTTGGGCAGCTGAGGCGGGTGGATCACCCGAGGTCAGAAGTTAGAAACCAGCCTGGCCAACATGGCAAAACCCTGTCTCTACTAAAAATACAAAAATTAGCCAGGTGTGGTGGTGGGCGCCTGTAATTCCAGCCACTCGGGAGGCTGAGGCAGGAGAATAGCTGGGACCTGGGAGGCAGAGGTTGCAGTGAGCAGAGATCATGCTATTATATTTTAGCCTGGGCGACAGAGTGAGACTCCATCTCAAAAAAAAAGAAAAAAAAAAAAGTGCCTCCCTGCTTTCCAAAGACACCAGGCATCCTTTTTCTCAAGGACCTTTACTTAAGCTACTGAAAATGTTTCCCTTCTCCCCTTCTGATTTTTCTTCATACCAAGTTCAAGAGAAAAAGCTAAGTTTCCCGTGCCCACTTTATTTACTTATAAAAGGATGGGGTTGGTTGCCCCCAGGCCTGCCCTGTATTGCTTCCTAGGTTTTCACATAGTGCCGTCTGGATCCCTCAATCACATGGGGGCTCTGGGCAGGCATGCAGCAGGTCTCACAGCTCTGCACTCTGGGCTGCTTCAGCATGAGCACATGTGCAGCCAACACAACCTGCGTGAATGGATGGATGCAGGAAGGGATAGGTGTTACCCAGGGGTCATCGCACAGCCTCCACCTCAGGGGATTTTAAATAAGAAACAACTCTTCCCCTACATCTTCTGTCAGGCAAGTCAACCAATTTGCCTGTGTGCTCAGCCTCACCCTAAGCAGATGGCACCAGAGCAGCTCTCAGAGATAGGGGAGGCCCACAAAGACCTTTTTGGTCTCATTTGATGACTTTGTTACAGCCCCGAGGAAATAAACATCCTCTCATTTTTACACACAGAACAGCAGGAAAGAGAAGTCGGCTGCCGGAGGGGAATTACCCTCTGAAGCAGTAGCATGGTGCTGTGATAAGGTGGAGTCTGGTTACAATTTGCTGCAAGCACTGATGTTAATGGATTCTATTAATACAAATTTGTACTCTGAAAACCTGATGACAGCTCCCAGCCGCCAGATAAATCTCACCAATTACCACCCAGTACATTGGCCTTCCCGGACTGTTTCTGGGATCTGGGATCTCTGAGAAGCCTCCATTCTAATTGAGGAAAGGAAACAAGGATATTGCACACTGGGGGCGGACGTCTAGACTACCTCCTTCAGGGAACATAGCCTGGAGGAAGGGAAACACAAAGTCCCCAGGGCTGAGAAGATATTCACCAGTGTGTGGGTAAAAGTGAACACCGTAAGACTATTCAGAAAGGTGGTAGCTTCTGCTGTCACAAAATAACCTGCTATTCTGAGCCAATATGGATTTTGTGGATTAACTACCACACCTGCTTCACTTTTCCTGTTAACCTGCGTAATGAAGCACTTGTACTATCACCAAAAGGGTAATTTCTGATGACATCAATAATAGGCATCATGCTGCTTCAAAACATTTTCTTTAAAGTAACCTATCCACTCAGTTAACTGATCCTGGGAAAGTTGGGAAGGTGATGTGGAAACAAGCCTTATGGGGGCTCTATACTTGGCTGCTATTAGTTTAACTTCATTGACAGAAGGATTTTGTAAATCACCTAGGAAAAGAATATTGTATCATTTTAAGTTTCCTTAAATGTAAAAAATAATAGTTTTGGTTTTAGAGTTTCACAATATTCCCTGAAATCAGGTAAGAGAAATTCGAGGTTGTGCAGACAGGCAGAAACCTCGAATCAACAAAACCAAAGCCTGGTCGTTCTTGCCCTTGAGCTCCTGAAACACGGCTGACTCCTGGACTCACTGCCTGACAACCCACGGGAAGCATCCCAACCAGGGTGAACCCCAAGGAAGACTCGTGCTTCAACTCTCAAGCTGGGATCATTCAGAAGCAGAAAGCATGAGGCTTCCCCATTGCCTCCTCTAACTCTAGGGCAGCACAGGGTTCCCTAGAGTTGGTGGATCCCCAGACTGCTGGATTGTGGTGAAAACCAACCCATGTAATTGGCTGTTTCCTACAAAATGGCCAGCCCTAGAGCTCTGCCTGACAGCATTCTTGCCATCTTGTCATACTCATTCATTTAATTCTGTAAGCATTTTAAAATCTCTACTATATGGGAGGTCTTCCCACCCCATGACCTGGCATACTGCCTCCTTAGATTACAATCCCATTTCATTACAGAATTTAAGGTGTTGTGTATTAAACAAAGTTTATGCGAGGTCACTTGTGCTCAGTGCCATGGAATCAAACCAAACTTTGAAATGGGCCAGTTTTCAAAAATCCAGAAGATTCCAGTCAACCTGAGTCAGCATAAGGAAGTCCCCTCTGTTTTAACCCTAGAAGGACAGTTAGTTTGAAATGACCAATCTGCTTTTTGTTCTCTGTGACTGTTTTCTTCAGCTTTTTTCTGCTTATAAAGCCAACCTCCTCTGCTCAGGTCATGGGAACACTCATTCCATTTTAAAGAATGAGGTATTGCCCAATTCTAGGATCACAAATAAAAGCTAATTCGATCTTTAACTAAATTTGTTGTAATTTTGTCTTTTGGCAAGTGTAATGAAGCTGACCCATTGGTTCCAGACTTGGTTCTGCAGTACAGTGGGAGTGCTTTGGGGTTGGCTAGATTTGGTAGACAGAAATACAAGCAGATAACTGCCCAAAGGCAAAGAGGGAGACAAATATGGATGGAAACTGGTGACACGGAAATCAGAGAGAGCCAAGGGGGAGAAGAGAGAAAACCCTAGAGACCATTTGCAGCCTCCGGCCATGAACTGTGAATAACAGGGTCTCTTTTATCACAAGGCCTCAGGGGAGCACCAAGAGTAGCACCAGATGGGTAAGAGCCAGGGACTGTTCAGGCTCTGTTTACCCACCAATTTATTAAGAACAGAGCTGTATTTCCAGCCTCCAACTCCCAGAATTAACAGCCAATCAGGGGCCAGGTATGGTGGCTCATGCCTGTAATCCCAGCACTTTCAGAGGCCAAGGCGGGCTGATTGCTTGGGCCCAGGAGTTTGAGACCAGCCTGGCCAACATGGCAAAACCCTGGCTCTACAAAAAATATAAAAAATTAGCTGAGCGTTGTGGTACACACCTGTGGTCCCAGCTACTTGGGAGGCTGAGGTGGGAGGACTGTTTGAGCCTGGGAGTTCGAAGCTACAGTGAGCCATGATCTTACCCCAGCCTGGGTGACAGCAACAGAGTAAGACCCTGTCTCAAAAAAAAAAAAAAAAAAAAAAAAAAAAAAGCCAATCAGGCTCCTCAAAAAAATTAAACATGGAATTACCACATAATCCAGCAATTCCACATCATATCCAGGTACAGATATGCCAAAGAATTGGAAGCAGGCACTTGAAGAGCTGTTTGTACACCCATGTTCATAGCAACATGATTTGCAAAAGCTAAAAGGTGGAAACAACCCAAATGTCCATTGACAATGGATAAACAAAATGTGGTATATCCATGCAAATAAAGGTCTATTATTCAGTATTTGGAAGAAGGAAATTTTGACTCATGCTACAACCTGGATGAACCTTGAAGACATTCATGCTAAGTGAAATAAGCCACTCACAAAAGGACGAATACTGTATGATTTTACTCATATGACCTACCTAGAGAGGTCAAATTCATAGAGACAGAAAGCAGAATGACGGTTCCCAGGTGCTTGGGGGAGGAGGGAATAGGGAGTTATTGTTTAATGAGTAGAGTTTTAATTTTGGGAAGATGAGAAAGTTCTGGAGATGGATGGCGGCAATGTAGATGCACACAGCAACATACATGTACTTAATATCACAGAACCATACAACTGAAATGATTAAAATGGTACATTTTATATTATGTATATTTTATCACAATTTTTTTTAATGAGGCAAATTAAACACAGGCTCTTCCTGTGATGAAATAAAAATCATGACACAGTTGTGCTAAAAAGGATAACAGGCTGGAATATTTGAATTCGATAGGGTCCTGCAAAATGGTAAGAACCTACAGTCATGCTAAGAAGTCTTCAACCAAGAAATGATCATTTTAGAGCACTAGAATGGGCATACAGAATCCCTGGGCTCCAGTTCCAACTTTGTCAGTAACTAGTTCTATAACACTAGGCAAGGGAGTTGCGTCTCCCTGGGCCTCAGTTTACTGATTTGTACAAGGGGGTTGAACTAGATGACCAAAGCACCTCAGCTGGACCAGGGGTTTTCAACTTGTGGTCCTGCAGCAGAATCTGGGAACGTATGAAAAATGCAAATTATTGGGCCCCTCCCAGACTTCCCGAATCAGGAACTCTGAGTGTGGGCCCAGCAGTCTAGGTTTGAACAAGCTGAGATAGGTTTGAGAACCACTGAGCTAGGACATTTTATGTTTTTATAGCTAATAGTGATCTGAGTAAGCCACATTTTTATGGAAATAAAAAGCATAAACAGCCAGACACATAAAAACACATTAGCAAATGAATAGGAATAAAGAGAATAATTACTTTTTACAAAAATGAGATGTAAATATAAAGTAGCAAATTAATTTTTTTTAAAAATCATAATTTTTAAAAGTCCAAATGAGTGCTGTCCTTAAAAGTTATAATAGCCTACCACCTGCTGTTTTAATGATGCAGTTCTTGCTTAAAGCATTTTTGAAACTTTATTTGGAACCGACTGCTGAGTCAGTTTAGAAGCTGAACGAAATCAGCTTCATTTGTTTGGAACTAAAAGTATCTTCATTTAGCTTGAGCCTAGACTTATTGTCCTGATTAGGCGGCTTGCAGAAATCAAATTCCCTCTAAAAGGAAGAAGACTGCCCATCCCTGAGGATATTCAAAGAATGTGCTGCAGCCTCGAAAGCGATTTCGAAAGCATAGCTCAGACGTGTTTCGGATAATGACAGAATTACATGTTTGACATCACAGAGTGCCCATCTGGAAAGGGGCAACACTCACTTCATGCAAGCTCAGACCTGAGAGCTGGAAATGGAACAAGAGGTCATTCTTGGGGAACAAGAACTCACCCTTCGACAGGAGTGGAATAGTCTCACCATTTCACAGATGAGCAGTGAATGCCAAAGGGGGTGAAGAATGTGTCTAAGGTTATGGAACTCACAAACTGAACCAGAACTTAGCTTTCCTAAAGAATCTTCACTAGGCTAAGGAACTTTGAACCAGGGAGTGGGGACAGGATCAGTAGAAGGCCCCACCCACCAGGCTGTGATGTCAAATCAGAAGACGAGGCTCCCAGCCCAGTCACTTTCTTCATAAAACAAAAGACTCTTTTGAATGTACTGAATATTTTGGCACCAGCCCTGGTCAATTCTTTCTCTGACGGTGGGTTGCAAAATATTTCTAGCATCCCACAAAGTCCAGTGAGGGCAAAGAGGGTGGAAAATTCTTTCACCATTTAGCCACACAGATTTTCTGGACTTTGGCAAGGAGGTGCCCAGTGTACCATGCTTCCCCCCCCACAGGGCAAAGGGGAGGGTGAAGGTGAAGGGTTCTATTCCCCGGGCTCCTGGCCACTCAGGACTTCTGCTGGCCCACGGCTGGAACAATTTCCTCCTTGTTCCACACTGTGTTATTCTAAAATGTTCACTTTAGGGGTGATGGGTGGGTGAGAGGAGATACTAAAAGTGAAATATTATTTTGAATATTTATCAAGTTGTTCCCACCCTGGGCTCCTCAAAAGGTCTTTAAAATCATCTTTTTCAGTTTATTTTATTTTACATATTAAAAAAAAAGATGGGGGTCTCATTATGTTGCCCAAACTCTTGGCCTCAAGTGATCCTCCTGTCTCAAACTCTTGGTCTCACGTGATTCTCCTGCCTCAGCCTCTTAAAGTACTGGGATTATAGGTGTGAGCCACTGTGCCCAGCTACTTCTTTATGGATCTCTCCCAATATCCCATAATCTAAATCTCTCAATCTTAGTTTGGCACATCCTCTCTTTCCTGTGTGATTCTCTCTCTAGTAAGACCATGCGCTCTATGGCTGAAGTGTGGCACTCTCTTTATTTCCCATAGCACCCAGCATGCTGGTGGGTGCAGTGCAGGCACCCAGCCATCACGTGGTGATGGTGATGGTGATGTTATCACATGATCATATATGCCTACTGTGTGCTGGGCACTCAAACGGTACTCTGCTGATATGCACGACCTCAGCTAATCCTCAGAACAGTACTATGTGCGAGGGGCTATTAACTCCATTTTTCAAGCTGAGGCTCACAAAGGCTAAGTAAGTAGCCTATTCAAGGTCAGGGGAGGGGCTCAGGTACAAATCTAGGTGTCCTGGACTCCAAAAGCAGAGGTCTTAACATCCAGACATCACTCCCTGCCAAGTTAAGAAGTTAGAACACACCCTCAGCCTATCTTCTACCGCAGGTGGTTCTCTCTACCTCAGCTCCATTCCCTCGCCTGCCTTCCTAAACTCCAGGGCCAGGGAAGAAGAGGCTCTCAATACCCAAGGGGTATTGACTTCAGGGACCACCAATGAGATTGCTGACCATTGAAGAACCAGAGGGAGGTGGAAAAAGCAGCTGACAGAGAAAAGGTAGCACCTTGAGTGGCATAGACCTCCTTCTCCCCAGGCCCAGCAGCCTTTCTGTACAAGCTGCCCTACATATAGATGCTACCCTGAGGCTTGAAAGTTCCTGAATCACAGTCCTTCCACACACACCCCTCACCCCTGAAAACACCCAAGGCCCTGACAGGGTGAGAGAGCCACATTATAGCTACATGTCCAAGGAGAATCACTGTCACTCCAGCAGAGAGTGGGATGCATTTATTTCAGCCTCCCAACGTCAACTTAATACTTCTGTGTGAGACGCAGGGGAGGGAAAAACCAAGATGTCGAGGCACTGTTATGCTGGGTTCCCCACTGGGTTACCCACCTGGGTTCCCTGTCCTGATCAGGAGATGGCAGAGGGAGCACCACGCTAGGTGTCAGGACATCCGGGTTCAGGTCTCAGATCTTCCAGTAACTCTCTGGGACTCAGGCACCACTCATCCCTGCAGCATGGAGGTCACTGTGTGGCTTGTAAAGGGCCTTCCAGTGGCTCAGGCCTGTGGTTCTATGGCCAGACTATGGAAGCTGCCCTGCCAATCCCATGCTGCTGGCACCAGCCAGACTGCAGACAGTGCAGAACTAAGCAGTGATAGGACCTTATGCTGGCCCACTCCCTGGGAATCTGACCCTGCTCCTCTTCAGCTACAGGCATGCTTTGACAGTCTTCCAAGAAAAATGCTGACCTCTGGCCTGCTAGGTTCCTGGTTAAACAAAGGACTGCAAGCTGGTGAGCTGGGGACCATCCTCCGGAGGGCTGGGTCATCTTCCACCTGCCAGCTGACTCCTGAGCACATATACTCCACACCCCAGCTGCACAGGCCACAGAGCGGGGTCGATGCTCCCTGGTGGGGCCTTCATGCTGACATGACTTCAATGGGATGTAAGTGATGGGGAAGGGGCTAGAAAGCAGAGTTTATGGGTCGCTGCTCCAGTGCCGCCCCAGCCCTGCACAGCTGTCACTCACTCAAATTTCGACTTTTGGGGTATGAAGTGCCCTCAACTCTGCACCTTGTTCTATCCAAGTTGAAACTCCTATTCAGTCAGGCTGCCGTGTTTCAGCCAAGCCCCTTATGGCCTATAGTGCTTGCCACATATAGCTTCTCTGCATTCACATAAGCTGGGCTCCCAGTGCGAGTCATCCAGTGCCATTCTATCCTGTGTTGAGGCTCACCCCTTCCTTGTAACTACTGTTTAAGATCGGCTTTCTAGAAAGTTCTCTGGAGACAACTCCAACACACCCTACCTCTAGCCCTTATGCTTGACCTTCAGCCCTTATCCATGGCCTCCAGCAGCTATACACGGGTTTTCCCAAACTTGACTCATATGTAGGCGTATTCCAAAGGAAAGAATACCTCCCAGACTCCCATGAGCATACCTGAGAACCCCGGGCGTCTATATACCCCAGTGTGAGAGACACTATCCTAAGAAACCAAAATCCACTTTTATGAAAAACATCTTTCAATTTCAAATTAGAATTGCAAAAGAGAAGTTTTGTCTTTTAACTGGTAAAATAATAGAAAAGCACATGGTAAACATTCTCCCAGAATTCAGTGAGAAACACTGAGCTACAGTTTTCACTTATTCATCAAATATTTACCGAGGGCCTCACAGGTGCCAGGCAATGCTCTTGGCAATGGGATTCAGGGGTAAACAAGACATTGTCCCAGCACTCACAGAGCCTACCTTCCAGTGGGGGAGACGGGCCATGAAACAATAAACAGAGACGTAAGTGCAGGTAGTGGGGAAGTGCTATGAAGAAATACACAGTGGGGAAAGAAAGGGCAGATTTTACATAGGGTGGTCAGGAAGTGATATCAAAGAGAGACTTAAATAAAATAAAGGAGCGAACTGGGAGGTGAGGGGGGGAATAGCTTAAGGCAGAGGGAAGAAAAAGGAAAGGCCCCAAGGCTAGAGCTGGCTGGAACATTGAGGAAAAGCCTAAAGACAGCCCGGCAGAGCAGGGGGAACTGTGGGGCAGGGTAGGGAGGGCCAGATCATGCAGTGCCTTGTATACCATGGAGATGAGCCTGACTTTAGGGGAAGCATGAAGGAAGGCATGGCCAGGGGTTGGGGTGGGTTGAAATGTTAAAGAAAAAAATTATCCAATACCACTTGTTAAAGCGTGGTAAGGCAGACTTTATTCAGGACCATCCAGATAGGTGCAGGGAGCACTGCAATAGGGTCTTTCAGTCGGGGAGAGAGATTGGGCTCAACTCTGAATACAGCGTGGGTGAGTGGGAATTTATAGCCAAGAAGCAGGGTGGGGGTTGGTGGATGGAAAATTACTAAGAGGAAACATCAGGAGTAAGGGGGATTCTGGCTAAACAGACCGAACAGGATTCCTGCTGCAAACAGGCCAGGGTGATCAGACATCACCTGGGGAGTGGTGGAGGATGAGGAACCTAGTCAGATATCAAGGGTGATCAGATATCCAAGGTGGGGGGTTCTTGTCAAACTGACTTAGCAGGGTTCTTGCTAAAACTGGATTTTATAAGGAAGTGCCGAGGTAGGCCTAGCGGAAGGTTCAGGAACCTGGCTAAAGTTTGGTCAAGCAAAGAATCTTTGTCAAGCAAAGAATCTTTGTCAGAAACAAGGGACTGATGGGTTTTTCCTTCTGTCTTTTGTCTACTATCCCGTGTTCTTCAGGAACCCGTGGTTCCCCCCATCAGACTGAAGCTCATTGACGGCAGGGCTTGTGTCTCCCGTCTCATACCAGAAGCTCTTCCCTACCTTCTGCTGCTGCCTTCTGTCTTCAGGACAAGGCCCCACTCATAGTAAAGCTCAACTGGATAGTGACTCCAACCCAGAAATGAGCTCCAGGGAGCAGAGGAACTACTAGCATTAGCCTAGCAGGCTCTATTTGGTTGGTGCAAATGTAATTGCAATTTTTGCCATTACTTTTAATACAATCAGAAAAAAGAGGAGGGAGCTATGCATCTGTCACCAATAGAGAGGCCTCCCCAACCTGAACTGTGCCCTACCTGCCACTTAATGCCCAGCGGCTCTGCACAGGTGTCGCCTACTTCAGGGGCACACACCCCCAGGGGTGGCTCAACAGATGCATCTGCTGGTCAACCTGGGGTCCAGTCCCTAGGGCCAAGGTAGAGGCTCAAGCAAAGCCGGTCCCTGCCTGCCATGCTGAGGCACCATTGTGGGGAACACAGCGACACTACCCTGCATCACTGCCACAAACAGCCTCCACCTCTGCCCCTGCCCCAGGGGAGCCTCAGTTGCCCGTATCCATAGTAACTGACATTTGTGAGTTGCAGTCCCAGGAGGGAGGGCAGGAGGGCTGCTACACTCTTCGCTTATTCTGAAAAGAGACAGGCATTTCTCTGGTTAGCTTGGGAGGCCTGAAACTCCTGAAAGACGTGTCCTCATCCACTTTCATCTGTCTCCTGTCTCAGTCAGCAAGGTGCAAATGGACATGATACATCCATTCAAAGACAGGACTTTCTTTTGGGTTCTCTCTGACGCTGATCCTGCATAAAATTTTGCTTTTGAAACACCTGGGAACTCAGGGTGGGGTCAACTAGGAAAAAATCAAAAACCCCAAATCCCACAGCTGGAAGGAACTTGAGAGGTTTCATTCCCCTACCTCTGAACCAGATGAAACCTCTTGCCATCTCACAGTGAAAAACTCAAGGCCAAGTGGGAATCACGTCTGTAATCCCAGCACTTTGGGAGACTGAGGCGGGTGCAGCACGTCAGGAGATCGAGACCATCCTGGTTAACATGGTGAAACCCTGTCTCTACTAAAAATACAAAAAATTAGCTAGGCGTGGTGGCGGGTGCCTGTAGTCCCAGCTACTTGGGAGGCTGAGGCAGGAGAATGGCGTGAACCTGGGAGGCGGAGCTTGCAGTGAGCTGAGATCGCCCCACTGCACTCCAGCCTGGGCAACAGAGCGAGACTCTGTCTCAAAAAATAAATAAATAAAAAAGAAATTAAACATTACAATGAGAAAAAAAATTACATTAAAATGCCAATTGCTACACTTCTTTTTTCTTCATTCCTAAGAGATTTCAGCCATACTGGGCCTCACTTCAGTGTTTCAACTCCCTCTTAGCTCACGCAGGTAGAGCTGTCTAAGTCTAACCTAAAGCCTGTAGGTGATGGCTTAAACATGGACAGGGATGAGGGGCTTCCTGGGATGAGAAGAAAAGAGGTTCTCAGGTTTTCTTTTAAAATAAATTGTGCACTCCCCCTGCTACTGAGATAACTAGCTGAGTCAATGTTCTGGCTCTAGAAAATGTGTTCACACTCACAAGGTAGGCCTCCATGCAGAGAATAAGCCTGCCAAGCCACTTCACCCCAGAATGAGAGGGCCAGCACCACCAGCTGTGCCCACAGCCGAGAGCCCACAGCATGAGAACCCCAAACCATCTGATCACTGAGCAAGGTCAAACCAGATCAGAAATTGCCCTTTATACCTCATACTATCCCTTCTATTCCCACAGCTCTTCTCCCTTGAAAGATGCTAAATCTTCTTTTAAATAAAAGCAGAACAAACAAACCCAGCTGAATTCCTTTCTCTCCATCCTTTTCTGCAGTCTCAGGATAGAACACTTTCTCAAGTTCCAGTCTTCACTCCTTCCCATTTCCAAAAGAACTGCCCTGTTTTCAAAATAAAAATAAATCCCACAGTCCTCTATAATGTCAAGAGAAAAATGTACCATTTGGCTGCCCCCAGATCCTATGAGAAAGCACATCTGGTGAGATTTTTACATAACCACATTTCTGCAGCCTAAGGGATGGTTCCCGTTATCTCTCCTCTCTCCCACCCCTTGGTCCTCCCTGTCCTACATTCACCCTGCACAGACAGCAGCAGAAGCAAAGTCCATGGGTTCCACCTCTGCTAGCTGTGTGGGTTCAGTGAGCGCCCCCAAGCCCTGGTTTGTCTATAAAACAGAGATCACTGTACCCTATCCTACAGACGACTGTTTTGCGGGGGAGACGAGTAGTAATATGAGACACAACGTACACATTTCCATAAAGTACGTCGGCACATAACAAATGTTAGTTATTCACTATTATTTTTTTGTCCCACAAACTTTTTGAGAGTAGATTAACCAACTTGTCATAGTTGCATTCAAAGCACCTAGTGTCTGGCATGCTGCAGATATTTTAAATTTCATTTACAAAATAAAAATGTTCATTAAATCTAGTTGAAGAGGCCACAGACTTGTTTTGCACTGGTTGGTCCCTACTTCTGTCCTCAGATTAGCTTGGCTCAGTGCTATTCCCCTAAGGGGAAGGTTATCCTCAAATAACCTTCTTTTTTTCCACTCAGAAGAATCTCCAATAAAAATCAAACTGTAGGAAGAAATTGCTCTTCAAAAGGGAAGCCTCTGTGCAACCCACCCCACCAGTTCTGGCCAGGCCTCTCCAAAGATCTGTCCCCCTGCCTCCTGGATGGTGTTCAGTAACCAGATGAATAATGAACCATCAGAGGGGATTCAACCGGTGGCAATTAACACTCTTCCAGCTGGGAAGGATTTAGCTCCACGGTGCCCAGATCTGCCGACTCTCCTACCCTCTTCCAAAACACACCAACTGCTACCACATGAATTGGGAGGATCCCGCAGATCAAAGAGAAGAATCCGCTGGATGAAACAAGACTGGCCAAGTGTTGATCATGGCTGAAGCTGAGTGATGGGTATGTGGGGATTCATTATACTACACTCTTTACTTTTGTATATTTTGAAAAACACAACAAAACTTTAATTATAATTCCATATTTTACCAGAACTAGGGCAAGAAAGCCCAAGGGGTTTTCTTTCCAAATTATCAGGGGAACTCCAGGCCTGATTTCCATTGTAAAAGAAAACATCCAGGAAATTTCTCTAGCACATTTGCATTTACAAGACCAGGGAGTTATTAAGTTAGTGCAAAAGTAATTGCGGTTTTTGCCATTATGTTTTTTTAACGGCGAAAACTGCATTTACTAATATTTAGTTGGTGTAGAGAAAGAGTGTTGGCTTTTGTGATCTTGGACAAGTGACTTAACCTCTCTGAGACTCTCCTCAGTTTCTTTGCCCTTGAAACAAATTTTGACCCTATCTCACAGAGCTGCTGTATAAAAGAAGGTGAAGTTTTTAGTGCTGTGCTGACACCTTGAACCAGTACCTAGTAGATGTTTGATAAAATTTAGTCTTTTTTCCTTGAGGAAACAAAGATGTTCTGTTGTATTCTTGCATTAACAAGCTTAATGGAATCAAACTCCAGAAGTCAGCTGCTGGCCAGGAGAAACCTAGATACACTGAAAAGAAAGCTTCTGGGGAAAGGAACTCCAAACTCTATTGCCTGGGAAGCCTGGGTCCGGAAGTACCCATCAAGGGCTGCAGTGTTTGAAACATCATTTGCCACAGGCACGAAGTCAGAGGAGACAGGGCAGCAGATGAGGAGCAGAAATGCATTCCACTCCGGGTCCTGGTGCGAGGGCAGGTTGAACCAGGAGAAGTTGCTAGGAGATGCTGCTGAGCACTCAAATACCATAATGACCCGAATAGATATTTGCACACCAATGTTTATGACAGCGTTACTCACAACAGCCAAAAGGTGGAAACAACCCAAATGTCCACCAATGGATAAATGGATAAACAAAATGTAGTATATATTGATAAATAAAAACAGAAGCCTAAGTCCCCCGATCGACTGCATGGAACCCCTCTTGGCCAAGGGGACCCCCATAGAAACCTTAAAAATTGAGTTCCAGGCCATGATGGGATGGGAGGTCAGACATACCTCATTATACCTCCCACCTCAGTAACTACTATCAGAGTTTCCTTCCTAAAGGTTAAATAGAAACTTACCCTTTCCAAAGACTTGATCCACCCCCGATTTCAACCAACTGCCTGCCTGTTCCATTTTGCAGTTTTGATACAAGTGACCAGCACGGCTTCCCAACAGGAGACCACTGACCATGCACTGGTTCTGGCCGTTTCACAGACGCTGTGTATAGGATGCCTCTGTGCCTTCCATTTCACCATTGGGTGTGCAGAGCCTAATTTTAATGCGTTTAAATGTTAAGTCTCCATTCCAAAGTGAACATGAGATGTATGTAACATGCATGTTTGCTTACTGTGCATGTGTGCATCCCCTGCTTTGTGAATATTCACATTTCCTCCTATAATCTATTAAATATATATTTATATATTATTTAATATTTTAACATTTAATATTATTTATATATAAATATATAAATAAATATATTATATATATATAAATATATAAATAAATATATTATATATATATAAATATATATTATATATATATATATATATATATATATATATACATATTTAGCCAACTCATTTGGCATAAATTCCTGTTCTACCCTTCCCTCCATCAAAGTGCCTGCTTTTGGTTTCTACCAGAGGCTATGCTTCCGAGCCTACAAGCTGCTGCAAATCTTTATAAAAAACAAAGCTCTCCTCTCCACATTTATGAGTCCCACGATTCTTCAGTTGACAACACATACAATAGAATATTATTCAGCCTGGAAAAGGAATAAAATTCTGATACTTGCTGCAATATAATGAGCCTTGACAACATTATGTTAAGTGAGATAAGCCAGACACAAAAGCACAAATACTGTATGATTCCACTTATTGAGGTTCCTAGCGTAGCTAAGTTCAAAGAGAGAGAAAGTAGAATGGCGGTTGCCAGGGGCTGGAAGGAGGGGAGAATGAGGAGGTAGTGTTTAATGGTCAGTTCTAGTTGGGGAGCATGAAAGGGTTTTGAAGATGGGTGTAGTGATGATGGTTATATAATAAGTGAATGTACTTAATGCCACCAAACTGTACATTTAAAAATAGTTAAAATAGTAAATTGTATGTTGTACATATTTTACCATGATGAAATAAGAAAATAATGACAAAAGAAAGAAAAGAAAGATATATCATAATGGCAAAATTTTGGCTTTAGTTTATATCTTTTTTTCCCTAGAGCTGAAAGTATCCTTAAAATATGCAGGGGCTGTGGGGTGGCGGTGGACTGTAAACTGGATGAGGAGATTTTTAGGGGGCAATAGAAATATACTCCATCTTGATTGGAGTGGTGGTTACATGGGGCATATACATTTGTCAAAACGCATCTGTACTCTAAAATGACTACATTTTATTGAGTGTAAATTATACCTTGATACAGTTGATTTTCAAAGTTGAGAAAAAACCAAAAATGAACAAACAAAAAATCTCTAAGAAATAAAGCAAGAGCGCCCCATGCCTCACTAGTAATTTAGGAGGCCTATCTTAAAGGCTTAGGAAGGAAGACAATACATCCCAAATGACTGTGTATTACCAGGCAATTCTAGGCTGAGTCTAAGAGGGTTGCAGACCCCTCCTCCTTCCACTTTTCCCCACCAACCCTGGAATTTCAGAGTCAGTCAAACAAAGACCCTATCAGACCTCTCCTCAGTCTGATAGAAGTTAGAGTTCCAAATGTTCCCTCAAAAACTAGTTAATAACATCCTGTCTTGGTTGGAGATTTGTGGGAGTGGGGAGGAACAGGGTGGCTGGTATCTACCGTTGGCTTCTGGTGTGTGCTTAGGGCCATTACCATGTCACTTACATCTTCTCCTACAAAGAACCCACAGCAGGGGACCTGAGGGGCGTGGTGGGGGGAAAGGGCAGGGGAGCACTCAGAAGAGAACCCGGGCCTGGAGATCCAAGCAATCTCATTGGACTGCACCTCTCCAGCCCTCGAGGCCTCCCGACAATCTGCAATCACTTTGCAGAATGTTCCCTCCTAGACTGTTTTTAGGGAAAAGAAGCACCTTAACTTTCTAATCCCGTATGACTCAGGCACCTCCAGATTCCCTACTCTGTTCTTCTTTCCACTTCCTCCAGCAAAATATAGTCACCTCTTAGGCACATGTGACTTCTGGGAGGCAGACAGCCTCAGTAGTGTTGCCAGGCTCCTGGTCTAACCTGGAGGTTAGACCAGTGGAAAACAGTGGAAGGCTGGGGTCTCCCATCTTCCCTTCAGTGCCTCCCAGGCCTCTTTATGAGAGAAGGGCCCATAGCCAAGGGATGGGGAGTGAGGAAGATGCAATGTGAACAGGAGATTTGGATTTGTTCACACTCAGAAATCCAGCTTAAGGATAATCAAAATGCAGATGTGTCTACATCAATATGAGCACCTTATCCAACCCACTTTCTTCTAGAGGCTGAATGATTCAAACAACAACAACAACAACAACAACAACAACAACAACAAAGCAGACCCACACTCAAATCTTGACTTTCCTACCTAATTGCTGTGTAACCTTAGGCAAGTCACTTAACGTGTTTCCCCATCTATAAAATGGGGATTGTGGTATTTGCCTCCATTAGGTTACTGAGGGACTAAATAAAGACATATCAAAGAATGGAGCAGTGACTGAGGGTAGCCAGAAAGTATGATGCCACCTGCCCCCACCACCCACCCCTCTCATTTTGACCTTATTCAGTCTACAGCAAAGTGGAAAGTTACCTCTCCTTTTCCGAAGTGATTATAAATGTGGGGCTGACTCTATCACCGGGCCCTCCTTTAAATGTCAAGAGAAGTTTGCTTTAGGCATGCAAAGTGTGCTTGAATCCCTGAGAAGTATAAACCAAGATGACATTCAGACCAGGCCCCAGGCCTAGGTGGGGAGGGTAGAAGGGCACCGGCAGAGGCGGGAAGGATCTGGGGCAGATGCCATCAGGACCCAGGGCCCGAGGGTGGAGGGAAGTAGATTCAGGATGGTGGGTTGGAAGTGCAGGAATGGGAACCGGGGGCAGGGCCCTGGAGAGCCTGTCACAGGGCAGAGCGGGTGGAATAAAGCCACGTGATTCCACTCCCAGGCCCCCAAGCAGCCAGATACTACTGAGCTGTGAGGAAGAACAGGAAGTCAGAAGCCTGGCGTACACCAGAAGACGATGCTCACCTCCAGAGACCCAAAATGGGGCGAAAGGCAGCCCAGGGGGCAGAAGAACTGGAATTTAGCATGTGGTCTTGCACTGGCTCCTACGACAAAAGGGAGTGGCAGCAGGAGGCAACATGGAGACCATGGGTTATTTAACCTGAGCCAAGCCCAGCGGCAGGAGACACAGTGAGGACACCTCCAACATGGGCCTGTCCCCCAGCGCAGGAAGATTTCGGCTGGGTAGGAACGAAGGGGAACAAAGGCTGCATAGGACTGGACAGAGAGAGCCTCCTCCTTCCTACTCCTGTGCTAATGATTTCATGGATTAGTTCATTTATCTTCTCAAAATCCAAGAGGCAGGTGCTATTAATATCACACTTGACAGATGATGAAACCAGAGGTCACCCAGCTAGGGGCTGAACTGGGACTGTTCCCCCGCAGTCTGGCTCCAACCCCACCTGTCCACCCACTGTGCCATGCTACTTGCAGGGTGTTAGCTGCCCTGCTCCCCACTGCAGCTCCTGGAGGGAGAAGACACAGCCCGTACCCCACCCCCAGAACATTCTCCTGAGACTGCTGCCATGGTACAGATCAGGGTGACAGAGGGGAAGTAAAAGCTACAGCAGCCCAGCTGGTTGGCAAAGAAGAGTCCCCCATCCCCATCCAGATGGCTCACCAAGCCCACTGAGGGGCTCTTTTCTCTGGCTTCTTCATTGCCTCAGAATGGAAGGCCCCCAGCAGCTGTCCCTAGCACACATGACCCGCAGATGCTTGTGTCCTAGGTAAAGAACGAAGCCTTCCCCGGGATCTGTCCAGCTCCTTGTGTGCTCTGTGGTGGGAGGCCCAGGAACAGAGGCCCCAGCAGAAGCCAAAGGCTTCTTTCTGGGTGAACAGGCACATCTGACTCAAAGGCAGAAATGAAATGTCCACTAAACCACGGGAGTGGTTTCTCTCTCTCGGGCTTCTTCTCTAAGCCTGGGGGATTCTCTGGCCTCCCTGGCTTTTTCCTAGGACTCCAAATCCCAGCCAGGTACTTGGTGTACCCAGAGCTGCTGGCTGGTTGCTCCCTGTTCTTACTGACACATGGTCCAGCATCTTTCATGGCAGACCACTGCTGGCCCAGGGTCCAGAAAACAGAGCTGCCAAAATCCCAAGAGAGAAAATGTCTTGAGTGGTCATTAATCCAGAGTCCAGCCTGCAAGAGAGCTCCCCTCTGAAATGCAAGGTGCCTTTCAAATGCAAGGTGCCTGGAAGGAAGAACATTTCACATAGCCCCCCTCACTGTCAGGAAGTATTTCCTTGCATCTGACCTCAGTCCTTCTTATGGACACCAAAATAACCCACTTTATTGTCTTCTACTGAGAGGCAACATGGCAGCAAGCTCCAAGAGACTCCAAGCATAGGGGCTCTAAAAGAACAGGTTCTTGGGCCTGGCTCAGTCACCGACAGTGTGACACCAGGCAACATGCTTAACTTCTCTGGGTTTCAGGATCCTTGATTTTAAAATGAAGATAGCATAGGTTGTTGAAAGGTTTATATGAGGACAAACATCCAATGCTCAGAGAACTGCCTACCATGGAGAAGGCTCTCAGTGAAGAGCCATTGTGATTATAGTTGTTGATGGTGTTGCCATCACTGGGGGAGGCCATCTCACCAATTCCTCCTGTTGCACCCTGAGCACATCAGCCTCAGAGAGAGGGTTGTCCAAGGATGACTCAGCCTGCCCAACTCTATGATGAAGGCCCTCATCTTCCAGGAAGCCTCCCACAGCAAATGACAATGTTACAACAGAGCCAGTAGGAGCCCCCAAAAAGCTTGGTGGAGGACACTGGGTCATTCCTCCAGGCCAGGTGCCCAGCCGGCTGACTGCGGTTGAGTTGACCACACACAAGCCTGCGCTCCCCAGCCCCAGCTGTCTCACCAGCTCCTGTGCATTCAGCCCAGCAATAAACCACAGAAACAGTGCTCCCAGGAGCATGCAGATGCTTCTAAAAATAGTCACTGCTCCTTCAGACCGTGGGAGGGAGATGGGAAGCAAGTGTCCACAGTGCCTGTGGGAGCCAAGGAGAGTCCAGGAAGGAGCTGCAATTCTCTGTAGAGCCTCCTCATCACCCTGCGGCACTCAGGCCTGGGATGCGTGATGCTCAGGGAAAACTGTACCGTTTGCTTTGTGCATAGGGTTGAGGGAGCACTCCGCAATGCTCCTGACACTCTGTCCTGGGGTGAGGTCTGACTGCCTCTGGGAAGGTTGAATTGGTCTGAGCCAGGGAGGCAATACTCCAATAACCTGGGATCATCAGTTTGTTCTGGCCCTAATGCAGCCTCGAACCTTCCTGGGTTAAGTACGGTCACTGAATCTTCAACCCAAACAAAACTTTAAAGTCACTGGATCCAAACCCCTGCTTCAGGGAGCCCTGTACCCAAAGGACAAGACAGACTGTCCCTTCCATCAGCCTCCTTTTTCCCTCCCAACCAACAACAAACCAGTACACATCTCTGTAGACAGAGCTGTCTTGACATGAAAGAGTTTCCTAACTCAGGGTAGCTCTGGACCAAAGCCACCTCCAAAGGTCAAAGTGAACATCATCAGCCAGACCAGGTGACATAAGCCTGTGTGGGCTCTGTCTTCACTCTTGTTTTGGTTTAGCATGAAGTGACAGGAAACCAAGGCTCTCCTGACCCAGAAACTGCTCTCCATCCCTAGAAGCCAGCTGAGAGCAAAAGGGACTATTCTCACTTCCTCCCAACCAGCAGCTTCTGCATTCCTGGCCTGAGATCCTGAGATCCAGAAATGCCAAGACTCAGGAGGGAGACAGCTGGTTTGAGATGGTGGAGCCCAGAGCAAATGGCCAAACGAGGGAACAGGAGAAGACTAACGTAGGACAGAGACACGCCACAGAGTTAACACAGGCTTCACAATTAGACGCACAACACTGAGTCTCCCTCCTCTAAAATGCTCTCCGGCATCTCACTTTTCCAGACACCCTCATTCCTCAAATCAAAGCTCCCCTGCCCACCCACACAGGGGCTTTGGAGCCTTGTCCTTGGCCTCTCTTCCTCCTAAAATTTCAGCTCATTTAGGACAGGAGACCAGTACCACCACCTCTTTCCCCTTCAAGCCTGCCTACTTCATATTTCAGATCTTAACCCCAACCAATCCACTCCCTGGGCCGGGAAGATTCTTGCAGCCCTTGTGCACAACCACAGTCTTAGCTTTGTTGGGAAAGTATGCACAATCCTAGCACACACCGCTTCAGAGTCTTTGAAGGCCAAAGCAGGAGGAATGGGGTGAGGATGAGAGGCCAAGAGGGAGGGCAGAGTTGACCATCCTACCTCTCTCCTGAAGGAGCCATGGTCTGGTTCATCCAGCGTCTTCTCAGTCTCCCTCCATGGGGACAGGTGGGGAGGGAAGCTAGGCATTTCTTAGGCCCCAGGCCATCCCAGCTGGCAGACTTAGGCCTGAGCAAAATCCCAGCAAGATCCTTCTTTTCCCTGAAAGTTGGCCTCAGAGAAAACACAGCAGCCCTGCCCTGGGTGGAATCAAAATAATTCCTGGCTTCCCTGCTCCTTGTCACCCCCATCGGCCACCTCCCCAGCCCTCCGTGGCATAAACAGGGCTTTATTATCTCAAGCCCACCACGTCCTCTGAGAGTGCCGTGAATGGAACGCCACACAATACACTTGTTTATTAATAACCACTCACCCCTCCCTCGGCCGGCTTGCTCACTCGCTCACCGCTGGGTCTCCCTCATGCATAATGGAAGAGTTGTGTGGCCCATGACACAAGCCAGGCTGTGCTCCTGAGGGGATAGACAGAGAGACGTACCAGGCCGGGCCAGGCTCCCCAAGGCGGGGGTGGGGTGGGGAGCAGACCCCCCTGTTAAGATTCAGAGACGTCATGTTTTGTAGGGGAGCACAGTGTGGCGGGGGTGGTCCTGGCCCTCCCCCATGCACACGTCCTCCATGAACCCAAGCCAGAGGTGGCAGCTGGTCATGTAACCTTTATGTAATACCCACCCTGTTCCATCCAGGGCTGTGTGCTGGCCCCACACAGGACAATGGCTCCCGCACAGAACAATGGCTCTCCGCAACTTTGGTCCCCTGGTCCACTTCTGCTCGAGAGCCTCAGGACAAACCTCTCTCTTTCACTTGACAGCCCATTACACATTTGATTACAGCCATGCGTGTGGCCCTTGTCCCTATCTTCTGCAGGCTAAATATCTCCAGTCCCTTCAACCTCCCCTGATGAAACTATTTCCACTCACCACATTGTCCTGCTTCCTCTGAGATGGACAAACTTCACTGGGTCAGAGATTCTCCTAGAGTGTAAGGCTCAGCTCTCCTACCCTCCTGGAGGAGGCGTCCCCTGATAACAGCATTCCCAGAAGGGAGTTTGGAAAAACATGAAAACATCTTAAAAATGTTTATACCCTTCATTGCATAAATTCCATTTCTGGGAATGGATCTTAAATAATCAAAGATAATTAAAATATTTAAGTCACACAAATATTCAGCAGAATATTGTTTATAATGATAAGAAAAAGTTAGAAACAACCTAAACAACCATCACTACAGGAAATGATAAACAAACTATGGCACGCCCATGGTTTGAAAGTCAGTATAGTGTGGAGATTATAAGAGCTCTGGAGCAGGCGACCTGGGTTCAAAATTTGGCTCTGCCATTTATTGGCCATGTTGCCTTGGGCAAGTTACTTAGTGCAGGCGAGCCTCGGGAAACTGTGCCTCAGTTTCCTTATTTGTACAACTGGGATCACAGTCAACTTGAGTACAAAGATTCTCTAAATGACAGTACCTAATACATATGGTAAATGCTAAGAAACTGGCCTGTACTCTTAATACTCTCATAAGCAATGAAATATGATATATTTTATCAAAATGATAAAATAATATAGTAAAATATTTTAATCAAATGGAAGATTGAGTAAAAAACAGATTATAAATATAGGAGAAGAATGACTATCTTTGAGCAGTGAAATTATGGATAATTTGCTTTTTTTCCCTTTGTGTTTATTTATCTTTTCTAAGTGTTCTGCAATGTAAACATAAATCACTTTTGTTAACAAGATAAAGTACTCATTGTGGTATGGCGCCCAGGGCAGGGCATAATTTCCCCACACAGGGTGCACGGGGCAGCCCTTTGGGACAGGCTCATGTTGTGATGCCTCTTCAACCACCACATCCCACTATTGGCTCATACTGAGCTTCAAGTCAACAACCCGCACTCCCACCCTGGCTCCCTCCAGCCCCACATCTAGCCCCCATCTGGCCTTTTCACAGGGGCTCCTGTTGAGCCATTTCTCTTGCCTATAATGAATACAGGGCTAATGGAGTTTGTAAGGGAATGGGAAGGATAGAGGGGAAAGGCACAACCAGGATGGAAGGCGTTGGCCCTAAGACTCAGAGCCAGAACAGAGTGAGCAGCCCAGGTCAGGGGCAAAGTTCTGCCCCGGAAGAGGCAGCCCTTTTCCATATCAGCAAGGTACAGAGGGGTTAATGGAGAGATCAGATTGATCCCACATTGAAGCGGAACAAAAGGGGATAAAATGCTGAGAAAATCAGGTGACATCCAGATGACCCCCTGCTGGGTGGCCTGGGGGTTGGAGGGGTGGGCAGACCCAGAGGGTAGCTGCCCCCATGCTCCTGCCTCCTGTTCTCTGCCTGCTCTGAGCTCAGCTCAGTGTTGGAAGCCATCGCTTTGCAGTTCCTGCGGCTTTTCTCCTCATAGAGGCAGCCACACCTGCCCAGCCCATCTCCCAAAGCCACCTGTGGACAGCAGCCCCTTTCTCAACCCAGGGAGCCTAATGCCGATAGGGAACAGGAAGCCAGGAGGGGTTGGCAGCCAGAAAGAGGAATGTGGTAGGGGAAGACAGCTGCTGGGCAGGCCTGAATGTGGGTCACATTCACAGAGGACAGCCCGTGCCAATGCAGAGTGGCTCTAGTAACAGCTGGCCTGCCTGGGGGAGAGCGCCAGCATGTCCTAGGCATCCTAGGCAGGGCAGCCAGGTCGTGCTCCTCCGATTCCCCAAGGCTTACTCCCCTGCCAGCCACAGCTCCCTCCAAAGAGGTCTGGTGTGCCACATCCAGCCCACCTGCTCTCCCACACCAGAAGAGATCAGCAATACAATGACTTAGGGGAACTGTTGATCCTGTGGCCAAGTGCAGCCCACAGGGACTTGGGGACAGGGTGGACTGAGCAGGCCAGAGGCCGTCCAGCTGGATTTGCTCACTGACTGTAACTACTGCAGTGAAGGGTCCAGTCTCATCCCTGGGTGCATAATCCCCATTTCCCAGCGTGGAAAGTGAACGCTATTACAACGGGAAACTTGTCACCACAAAGTATTTTGTCTGAAATATTTAAGCAGAAGCTGGGTAACCCTGTCAGAGGAGCTTAGAAATCTCAGCACTGAGTAGGAGGTAGGATGTGACTGCCTCGAGGGCCTGTCCAGGGCTGAGACCCCAGGATGACCCAGGGCTGGAAGCCAAGAGACAAGTCATTTAGAAGAGAGCCTTGGAGGAGGGTGTGAGGTGCCACCAGGCAGCCATGGGCTGAGTCGGTACCCGCCAGGGCCTGTCTCTGTCTCTGCTTGGAGTGGCTGCTATGTGGGTCTGCCTGTGGCTGTGCCTATGCATGAGCGTGTGACCATGAGTGCGCAGATAGCATGTGTGTCTCTGGGGAGGGGCTTCAGTGAGTGTGAGCATGTTCTGGCCGTGTGTGTGTGTGTAAGCGTGTTGGTGTATGTATAAGTCTAAATGTGCATGTATACCTGCCAGGCTTGGTGGGCGTTTGTGTATATCAGGCACAGGGGATCTATCTGACTTATATGTGTGTGCCTTAGTGTGACTCAGTACATGTGGGCATCTGTCAGCCTTCATGTGTCTATAGGTATTCAGGACATGTGTGTGGTATTGAATATGTGTTTTCTTGGGTTTACGGATTGTGTAGTGTGTGTGTGTGTGTGTGTGTGTGTGTGTGGTGAGTTCTGATAGTATGACTATGTGTTTTGATATGTGGGTCTCTAGGTCTCAGTGTGTTTGTTTGTCCTAGTTCCTGTATGTGTGTTTGTGGGCACATATGCCTATCTGGATATGGGTATTGTATTTCTGTTTCTGTGTGGGTGGAGCAGTCCCATGGTCTCCCTGTTGTTACCAGAATGCTCTCCAATTAGGAGCAACACTAAATAAATCTTCCATGTGCAAATCCAACAGGGACTCCCTGTTTCTGCAAAATCAAATCTAGCTCCTCCAGGCTGACATCTAGGGGTCCCCCCTTGTCAGCATTCAGTAATCCGACTGCACCTGTTTTTCTCCAAATGTCCAGGATAGTAACATCTACACTGCTGCTTTTTTTGTTTCTTTGCCTACAATTCCTTTACTCCATCTCTGGAGTAAAATTTGCCCAACAAATCCTATTCATCCTCTAAGGCCCAGTACCAATGCCACCTCCTCCAGGAAGCCAATCCAACCCTTCATGTCCACGCACTAACCATGGATATGGTACACCAAATCTCTCAAGGTGGGACATGAACTCTCCTGCCCTGGCTTCCAAAGGACATTATGTATCTCCATCACTAAGCAAAGATTCATTGTAATGATATGTGCAGATATTTCCTCCTCTACCAGATGATGAAAAACTTATAGTCAGGGAGTTCATATTATGTCCTTTGCAGCTTCCAAGGTGCCTAGTTTGATGTATTGCACACACAGGCTTGCAGTGAATGTTTACTAAACTTGAGTTCACCTATGCAGCAAGCTGTGAGTGGAAAGAGTGCTCACTGCCTCAGGGCCTTTAGAGCTGAGCAAGTATAAGGCACAGGCCTGAGAGTTTCCAGCCCCAGGGTGCTGTAGGGCTGGGAAAAGCCTTTTACCCTTTCTGGACTCAGGATCGGTAGCTGAAAGAGCCTTTTCAAGGTCAAATGAGACAGGTCTGCCAGCTTCTTAATTCTTGGAAGCATGGTTACCTAAGAACTGACCTCTCAAGGGCTCGGCATAGCTCCAAAAGCCCCATCCACACTGGAATCATATCCAACTCCTGCAGCCAAGACGGCATCCAGTTACCATTTTTCCTTTAGCATCCCTTGATCATCCTCTCTGCCCCCACTACGCACACACTCCAAATCCCAAGATTCTCTCAGGTGGGCTGAGGTTTGGCAGTGTGAGGATACAGCTTATTCTGCCTCTTCCACCAGCCAGAGCTCCAGCCTCCGGACCTGAGCTAGACCCTGATTGCTGCTGATGGGGAAGGAAGCAAGAAGCAATCTCCAAGACCCAGTGCTAGGAGAAAGTCCACTTGAGCAAAGTTGTGGATGACTGCACTTTGGCTGCCCCTTGAAGGAGATAGCAATGTTTGACTCATAATTTTAGGGCAGTCTACCAGAAAGGTTAAATTTTACAAAAGGATTGGCATATCAAATATTGATAAGGGTGTGGTACAAATGGAACTCCCATACACTGCTGGCAGAAGGGTAAATTGGCACAATCACTTTGTAAAACTGCCGGTGTGTACTAAGGCTGAACATACTTCTATCCTGTGGCCCCACAGTTCTACCTCTGGGTATTCAGCCAACAGAAGCCAGCACTATGCTCAAGAATGATTATACTCAAATTCATATGAAATTGCAAGAGGCCTCAACTAGGCAAAACAATCTTGAAGAAGAAGAATAAAGTCAGAGACTCACATTTCCTGATTTCAAAACATACTACAAAGCTATGGTAATCAAATCAGTGTTGTAGTGGGATAAGGAAAAACTTTCATACCAATGGAATAGAATTGAGAGTCCACAAATAAACCCATATTTCTATGGTCAACTGATTTTTGACAAGAGTACCAAGTCCACTCAATGGGGAAAGAACAGTTTCTTCAACAAATGGTGCTAGGAAAACTGTATTTCCACATCAAAAGAATGAAGTTATACCCCAAACTACAAACCTCACACTACAGTAGTCCCCCCTGCCTTATTGAAAGTTTTGATTTCTGAGGTCTCTGTTACCCAAGGTCAACTGTGGTCTGAAAATAGGTGAATACAGTACATTAAGATATTTTGAGAGAGAGAGACTACATTCACATGACTTTTATTACAGTATAAGTTTTCTATTTTATTATTAGTTATTGCTGTTAATCTGTTACTGTGCCTAATTTATAAATTAAACTTTAACATAGCTATGTATGCATAAGAAAAAACATAGTATATATGGGGTTCAGTACTACCCATGGTTTCAGGCAACCACTGGGGATCTTGAAATGTATCCCTCATGGATAAAGGGGCACTAATATATATAAAAACTGAGTCAAAAATGGGTCAACAACCCAAATATGAGTGCTAAAACCATAAAACTCTTAGAAGAAAACTAGAAGTAAAACTTCATAACCTTGGGTTTGTTAATGGACTTTTAGATGTAACACCAATGCACCAGCAACAAGGTGAGATAAATTGGGCTTCATCAAAATGTAAATCTTTTATGTATTGAAGGATGTTATCAATAAAGTGAAAAGACAACCTACAGAACGGGAGAAAACAGATGCAAATCCCAAGGTTCTCTAGGGTAGGCTGAGGGTTTGTGCTGTGAAGATACAGCTTATTCCACTTAATAAGGGTTTAATATCCAGGCTATATCAGGAACTCCTAAAACCCAACAACAATAACCACAACAAAAGACCAAAAGCCAATTTAAAAACAGCAAGGAACTTTGAACAGACATTTCTCCAGAGAAGACACATAAATGGCCAAGAAGCACATGAAAAGATGTTCAATATCATTAATCATTATAGGGAAATGCAAATCAAAACAATGAGATACCACTTCACACCTACTATAGGATGTGTAGAGGATGGCTATAATCAATAAAATGAAAAATAACAAGTGTTGGTGAGGATGTGGAGAAATTGGAACACTTGTACACTGCTGGATGGGAATGTAAAATAGTGCAGCCACTTTGGAAAACAGTCTGGTAGTTTCTCAAAAAGTTAAACATAAGAGTTAATATACGACCCTGCAATTTCACTCCTGGGTGTATACCCAAAAGAACTGAAAACAGGAATTCAAACAGGTACTTATATACAATATTCACTGCAGCATTGTTCACAACAGCCAAAAGATGGAGACAATGCAAGTGTCCTCAACAGATGAGTGGATAAACAAAACGGTGTGCATTCATACCATGGAATATTATTCAGCAATAAAAAAGAATGAAGTTCTGATACATTTCAACCTTGAAAATATTATGCTAAGTGAAATAAACCAGACACAAAAGAACAAATACTGTATGATTCCATTTATGTGAAATATATGTAATGTAATGGACAAATTCGTAGAGACAGAGAGTAGATTCAAGATTACCAAAGGCTGGGAGGAGTAGATAATAGGAAGTTAATGCTTAATGGTTATAGAGTTTCTTTCTTTTTCTTTCTTTCTTTTCTTTCTCTTTCTTTCTTTCTCTCTTTCTCTCTCTCTTTCTTCCTCCTTTCCTTTCCCTTTCTTCTTTCCATCCTTCCTTCCTTCCTTTTCTTTCTTTTCCTTCTTTCTTTTTTTTTTTTTTTTGAGACAGAGTCTTGCTTTTTCACCTAGGCTGGAGTAAAGTGGCGCGATCTTGGCTCACTGCAACCTCTGCCCCCTGGGTTCAAGCAATTCTTCTGGCTCAGGCTCCCGAGTAGTGGGACTACAGGCACCCGCCACCACGCCTGACTAATTTTTGTATTTTTAGTAGAGACGGGGTTCACCATGTTGGCTAGACTGGTCTCGAACTCCTGACCTCAGTTGATCCACCCCCCTCGGCCTTCCAAAGTGCTAGGATTACAGACCTGAGCCACTGCGCCTGGCTGGTTACAGAGTTTCTGTCTGGGGTGAAAACGTTCTGGAAACAGAAAAGTAGTGATGGTTACACAACATTGTGAATATACTAAATGTAACTGAGTTGTATGTCTACAAAATGGTTGAAATAGCAAGTTTTCTATTATATAGACAACTGTGTTTCATCACAATAAAAATGTTTTTAAAAATCACTGCAACATCCTTCACTGCTTTGCTGTCAAATCCATCAATATCTGACCCCAAATAAATGATTGCTGGGATAAATGAGACAAAGACATGAAACAGTTTTCAGAAGCGCTATTTCCCCAGAGGGCGATATTCTTCAAACTCCGGAGTGAGTTACTGTGGTGATGGCATGGAGCTGGGGATCTATTCTTGGCTCTGAAATTCCGCTGACCCTGTCATCCACTTCCCAGGCCTGGTTGTCAAATAGGGACAGTGTCACCAGTCTCCAGTGTACCTCTGAAATCTCGAAAGAACCAGACTAAACTCTGACCCATCACTTCCCTCCAGTCTACTCTCCAGATGACTTTACTTCTACCCCATTCTGTGCTGACTTTAGTTTTTGAACGAGGAGGAAAAGCACCACATCCAGTAGGTCAAACACACCCAGCACATTGGCCTAAGTGCTTGGTCCAAAGCTTCTCTGCCAGGCTTCCAAAGCTGGCTAAAATATTTGAAGTTTACAGGGAAGCCTTGAGTAGTCTAGGCTATAGCAAGAGATGTGCTATTTAAAAAATTTAAAAACTTAACTCACCAAGGTTCCAGTTCACCTGTACTTCTCACCAGCCTCCCTCCTCACACTGCCCTCCAAAGATAAAGAATAATAAAAATAGCAACTTCCCCTTCCTAGCCAGACTACCTAAGTGACCTCCTAACCCTTATGAAGATGAGATGCTTGTTCCAAGCCTTTGGTCTCCCCACTGACCCTTCTCCTCTCTAGCAGCTGGGTAATACTATTTTGTGTTAACCATCCCACCAAACTCCCAGGTTATATTTTAAACTTGATCTCTCTAAAACTCCTAAAGTAAAACTCTTTCTTTGATTTCCTGGAGGTGTACATAATTCAATAACCATTCACATCGACTTTTTATTATATGCCTATAAAGCCTTCCAGCTGATCTTTTAAATGAACACACCAGAATTTATACATTTAAATTAGTGCTGTCTCCTTCAAAGAAGTCCCCTTGGGAAGCTATATACATATTCCAACAATGCACCCACCAGTGCTTAGAACATTTCAGAAGCTTTTCTTTTGGAACTGCTTTCAAGCCTACAGTATATTCTTTTGATGGGACCCCATGGTGACAAATCTTTATCCTATGAGGGTAGATGGTAATTTTTTTTCTTAAGTTGAAAGATAGAGCCAAGAATGGGAAAGATGGTGGGTGATGCAGTTGGGAATACTGTTTAGTGTCAAAAGCAAAGAATGATTATCAAGGCAAGAACTCTGAAGGCTATTCCTACACAGGATGAAACAAGGTTTTGAGCACTGGCTTCATTATAGGAACAAATATGCAGCCCACAACATGGTACAGTTTCAGAGGACAGCACATGTATGAGTAAATAAGATCTGGTAACACCACTAAAAATAATTAGAAATCACCCCATTGTTAATGCTAGATCCCCATGTTGTGTCCACCCATGTCACTGCGTCTTGACCAGAGGCTAAGAACCAGAAACCAACCAAAAGTGGCTGCCAAAGTTCATGAGTCTGGAGTGGGTACAGGGAGGCTGTCCACTCGCTCAAAAGAAGACACAGACTGGCATGTGTCAAGAAGTGAGAAGAGGCCGGGTGCGGTGGCTCACGCCTGTAATCCCAGCACTTTGGGAGGCCGAGGTGGGCAGATCACGAGGTCAGGAGATCGAGACCATCCTGGCTAACATGGTGAAACCCCGTCTCTACTAAAAATACAAAAAATTAGCCGGGCGTGGTGGCAGGAGCCTGTAGTCCCAGCTACTCGGGAGGCTGAGGCAGGAGAATGGCGTGAACCCTGAAGGCGGAGCTTGCAGTGAGCTGAGATCACGCCACTGCACTCCAGCTTGGGCAACAGAGCGAGACTCCGTCTCAAAAAAAAAGAAGTGAGATGAGTCTGGCAGTTCCTCAATAAGCCAAATGTTGAATTACCATATGACCCAGCAATTCCACTCCTAGGTATATACCCAGAAGAATTGAAAGCAAGTGCTCAGGTCAGGTGGAGTGGCTCATACCTATAATCCCAGCACTTTGGGAGGCCAAGGCAGGTGGATCAGTTGAGCTCAGGAGTTGCAGGCCAATCTGGGCAACATGGAGAAACCTCATCTCTACAAAAAATACAAAAATTAGCTGGGTGTGGTGGTGCATGCCTGTAGTCCCAGTTACTCAGGAGGTTGAGGTGGGAGGATTGCTTGTGCCCAGGAGGTCAAAGCTGCAGTGACAGATGATTGCACCACTGCACTCCAGCCTGGATGACAGAATGAGATCTTGTCTCCAAAAAAAAAAAAAAAAAAAAAAAAAAAGGAAAGCAAGTATTCAAACTAAAACTTGTACACAAAAATGTTCATAGCAACACTATTCACAATAGCTCAAAGGTAGAAAAAAAAACCCAAATGGTCCATCAATGGATGAATGGAGAAATAAAAATGTGCCATATATAGATAATTGAGTATTATTCAGCCACAAAAAGGAATGAAGAACTGATCCATGCTACAATGTGGATAAACCTTGAAGACATGATACTAAGTCCACAAAAGGCCATATATTATATGATTCCACTGACATGAAGTGTCCAGAATAGGCAAGTCTATAGAGAAAAAACTGATTAATGATTGCCAGGGGCTAAAGGGAAGAAAGAATGGGAAGTGACCACTTCATTGGTAGAGGGTTTCCTTTTGGGGTAATAAAAGTCTTAAGGAATTAGATAGTGGTGGTGGTTGCACAGCATTGTAAATGTACTAAATGCCACTGAATTGCATACTTTAAAACGGTAAATTTTAACCAATTTTATGTTAAGTGTATTTTACCTTTTTCCCCAAAGAAAAAAGAAGTGGGCAGAATTTCTGTGCTAAATTCTGCTAGGAGAGCTCTGGTATGGGAGAGCAGCAGCTGATGGCTCTGGTTGGCAGCTCTCACAGGCAGCAGTGTTGAGACCCTCACAGGTGGCAGACAAGTGAGGGTGGCACAGGGGACACTGGCCCACACTCCAGTGACAGTCAGCCCATGTGCCCTGACCTCTCACCACACCAAAACTTATCAGGCCTTTCATAAATGCTTTTTGATGAGGACTAGAGACAGGCATGTTGGAAAATGATCCCCTGCAGGGAGAAGCAGGAACAGTTCCTGAGATAAGCCAGAGGAAGACATTTCCAATACAGCTAGTTTTCTTGGTGACTCTAATCCCTGCCTGCAGTATCATGGCCATTTGATTACAACATCACTGCTATCTCTCCTGGGCCATCAGGGTGTGAGCCTGTAGGCTGGGAAGGAGCTGTCCCTTCCCTGAAGATAAGGCTCTTTTCTCCACTGGCAGCTGCTTGTCATGAGGGCAGCCCACGCCACACTCTTCTGCCGGGTAACCCCTCCCTTTCTTCCCTGATCCCCAAGGATGCTCACAGATGCTCCACGGCTATATCTGCACCCCCAGCTCAAGGCTTTATTAGGAAACCAACACATCAGGAAGGCAGCTGAGTTTGGTCTCCAACTGCCCAGTCCCCTTGGCGCCCTCCAGCTTAGGGGTATGTTTTCCTAATCTTTGTGCATGAGGATTTACAAACTCAGAGAAAAGACAAGACCCTTAGCAGCAATTACAAGACTAATAACATTAAGTCTTAAATGGTTATTTTAGGCCCAGATCCCTTACTAGTTGTTACAGCCAGTAAATTATGGGAGCAGTGAATTTTAATGTGCATAAAAAACAACTTTAAATATTCAATGGATTCCTTCAGTGCAGCTGCGGGACCCAAGACCCAGCCTCTGGGAAATATTGGTTTAGAGACCCAAGACCCAGTTGTTGTCTCAGACATCCTTCAGACCTGTCTCATGTTTTCCACAATATAGCACAGATAATTTACTGGGCACCCACTATGTGGCACTAAGGACAGAATCCCTGCCATGGAGCTTACAGTATAGTGAGGTACACAGACTTTCTGGTTGGCCATATGCTCCTGGCATCTTCCCATCCACTGAGGACAGGAGGAAGAGATGAAGGACCAACTGCTGTGGCCAATGATGAGCAGTCCCAAGGATGGTCCCATCTAGGGGCTAAGGCGGGGGAAGACCCTGCCCGGCTGCCTGGCTTGGGGGATCTCTCTGAGGACAGAAGCACCTGGCACAGTGAGCAGAGCATGGTTAGAAGTCAGTGCATTCGCCGAGGTGGGTGGATCACCTGAGGTCAGGAGTTCAAGACCAGCCTGGCCAACATGGCGAAACCCCGTCTCTACTAAGATTATAAAAATTAGCCAGGCGTGTTGGCATGCGCCTGTAATACCAGCTACCCAAGAGACTGAGGTAGGAGAATCGCTGGCACCCGGGAGGCAGAGGCTGCAGTGAGCCGAGACTGCGTCACTGCACTCCAGCCTGGGCGACAGAGCAAGACTCTGTCTCAAAAAAAAAAAAAAAAAGTCAGTGCATTCAACTGAATAGCGGAGGGCAAGAGACGGGTGGTAAAACCGGCTGTGAGATAAAGGAGTGCCCCGTGTGCTTCCACTAAAGCAAGATGCCTGGCGGTGGGGAATCAGTGAGATGGCCCCTCACTGGGGTCTTTCCAGAAAGAAGAGTCAGGGTTACGACCCCGGTGGGGAAGGAGCTGCCATGGCTGTTGGGAGCCCCAGAGCTCCTACACGGAGCAGGTGCAGGCAGTCTCCACTCCGCAAAAAGCCTCCTGAGACAGTCAAGGAAAATGATGAGGAAGGGAAGCGGCAAGAGAAAGCAGGGAAGGCAGGAGGGGGAGCGGAGGGAGTGAGGAGAGGGGACTCCAGAGGAGTCCCTGCTGGAGCTGCCTGTTGCCATGACAACGCCCTCCTGCCTAGTATCCAGGAATAAATTATTGATCATGGACACTGCTTCTCCCACCTCCCCGAAGTCCCCAGTGCCCTCTTCGTTGCCATCATGACTCTCTTCCCCTCCACCTGTTCTGTATTTGCTTGGATGAGTCACTCAGACCAAAACAGGAGCCCAGAGGAACCACAAGGCCTCTCCCAGATGCCCTTCCCCCTCCCTTATTATTATGCACATTTGGTGTTCTATCCCGGTATGGGTGCAGAATATGACTGAGCAGTATTTGGAGACAGGACCTTTAAAGAGGTAATTAAGGTAAAAGGAGCTCACATGGGTAGGCCTTAATCCAATATGACTGGCATCCTTATAAGAAGAGGAGATTAGGCCAGCCTCGGTGGCTCACACCTATAATCCCAGCACTTTGGGAGGCTGAGGCAGGTGGATCACCTGAGGTTAGGAGTTCAAAACCAGCCTGGCCAGCATGGTGAAACCCCATCTCTACTAAAAATACAAAAATTAGCTGGGGGTTACGGCAGGCGCCTGTAATCCTAGCTACTTGGGAGGCTGAGACAGGAGAATTGCTTGAACCCCGGAGGTGGAGGCCGTAGTAAGCTGAGATCGCGCCATTGCACTCCAGCCTGGGTGACAAGAGTGAAACTCCATCTCAAAAAAAAAAAAAAAAAGAAGAAGAAGAAGGAGACTAGGACACAGACATTTGCAGAGGGAGGACCACATGGAGACACAGGGAGAAGTGGCCATCTGCAGCCAAGTAGAGGACCCTGCAAAAGAAACCAACCCTGTCAACAATTTGATCTCAGGCTTCCAGCTTCCAGAATTGTGGGGAAAGAAGTTTCTGTTGTTGAAGCCACCAGGGTTGTGGTACTTTGTTTTGTCAGCCCTAGCAAACAAAAACACCACCCTACTAGCAGTGTACATCCCTTCAAGCCAGCTGACATTTTGGGGCACCCAAGCAGGACTGAAAACATCCCAGCAGCAGGGTCAGCAGACTTTGAGATCCCACGTGGTCACACAATGGGATTCTGGGGGCTGCGACAGGGGAGACAGAGGGCACTCGAGGGGCAGGCAGGACAGCCCAGCCCAGAAACCAGCCAATTGACCTGTTGCTAGGCAGGCAGGGGCACGCCGTGCAGGAAACTGCATATATTTTGGGTTATTCTGCTCCGATGACCATCACAGCAGGATATTCCAACTTCTACAAGTCCAGTCTCCCAACCTAAGAGAAGACAAGGTTGGCGATGCCAGAGCAAGTATGGGAAGCAGAATCGAGAAGTGGCCAAGGCTCCTGGCCCAAGCTGGGTGGGATTTTGGGCCCACTTTGAGGAAAAGGTGGCACCTGCTGTGCTGAGTTCAGTGTGTAAAATTGTAAGGGGTCATCTTCAAGTCAAAAGACAAGCACTAGCAAGGAAGAGGAGGGGAAACTGGAGCCCTCATGCACTGCTGGTGGGAACATAACATGGTGCAGCCTCTAGAAAACAGCTTAGCATTTCCTCCACAAGCTAAACACAGAATTACCACATGACCCTGCAATTCCATTCCTAGGTATATAAATGCCCCAAAGAATCGAAAGCAGGTACTCAAACAAGCACATGTACTTATGTGTTCATAGCAGCACTATGCATAATAGCAGAAAGGTGGAAACAGTCCAAAAATCTATTTGCAGGTGAATGGAGAAACAAATTCTGGTATATACCTATGATGGAATATTATTCAGCCATAAAAAGGGATGTAGTACTGATGCATGCCGCAATGTGGATGAACCTTGAAAACATTAGTGAAAACTAAGTGAAAGAAGCCAGCTATAAAAGGCTACATATTGTATGATTTCTTTAATATGAAATATCCAGAAAAGGCAAATTCATACTGACAGAAAGCAGATTAGTGATGGCCAGGGGATAGGGAGAGGGAGAATGGGGAATGACTTTTCAATGGGTATGGGGTGATCTTCTGGGATGAAGAAAAAGTTTGGAAACTAGAGAGAGGAGATAGCTGCACAATATTGTGAATCTGCTAAATGTCACTGAATCGTTCACTTGAAAATTATTAATTTTATGTCATGCAAATTTTACCTCAATAACTTATTTTTAAAATTTAGACATTAGGTACATGGGGGATCGTTCTAGTTTCTTTTTTACATATGTTTGGCAGACGTTTCTTCACACAATCACACACACACACACACACACACACACACACACACACCTGTTCTGCATCTCTCCTTGGCACTTTTGTGACCAACTCCATCAGAACTGGCCTTCTCCCTGTCCACCACCCTCACTGATGTCCCGAAGTGTAGCTTCATTTGGGAAGCTTTGTCTGCAACAGCCATCTGTCTGTATATTCACTTTCCCCACCCTGTTGCCCAGTACTCTTAGGGGTCTTCTTGGCCTTTTGAGCCTGTTCTTCCAATTGGACTGCAAGCTCTCGAGGGCAAAGACCATAACTTTTCAGTCTTTTTACAAGCAGGGAGGCAGGAGGGAACAGCAATTATGAGTCAAAAGGCCCTAGCCGTGGACTGGCGGTGTCACCAAGAGCAAGTTACTCTAATCTCTCTGAGCTTCAGCTTCCTCTTGTGTGAACTGGGGATAATGATAATAGTTGCTTCATAGGGTCATTGTAAGAGTTAATGAAACATATATAAAAGGTCCAACAGGATGGTCTTTCATAAATATTTCTCTTGTGCTTCTCCTCCCTGAAAGCTTTTCCTGCCCAATCCCAGTTACATGGTTTCCACTTTAGAGACCTCATTCAGTGGATCTCAGAATATCTGCTGGATCTCTAGCTATGTCAACAAGCAGGGATTCTGGGTCTAAAACTCCTGCTTCTAGGAGCATGGAGGGCAGGTGAGACCATAGCAGCAAGGGTTGGAGGGTGAGGTCCAAGGCAATGCTTTAGAATTGTGTCCCTGTTCTAAGGGTCCTTGTGTGAGGCAGCCCTGGCCTCTTCTCCTCCAGTCTCTTGGGTCCAACTGGGTTTGACTTGACCTTGGAATTCAGCCCTCGCTCAGTGCCCTCCTGTTCAATAATACACCTTGCCCTGTGCTCAGAGGTCTCTTTACTATTCCTCCTCCCCATATCTCACCCACCCCATTCCCACCACAGTCTTTCCTAGGTCCTAATTTCTAAAGTCTTTTTTCGTTTTTTCACCATGTATCAAAATATTATTGATCTTTTAAGGTCTAGCTTAAAGTCTGCCTTTTCCACAAAGCCTTCCCCAATGACTCCAGTCAACAGTGGCCTTTCTCCTTCTCAATCCCATTGCTGTCTCTTGGTTCCCAGTTATACAGTTGTGTTTCAGCATGGAATAGTATTCTTGAGTCTTTTTCTGCATGGGTAAACCTTGCTTCCAAACTAAGATAATGCCCTTGAGGTAAGAGGCTAAGTCTCATTATACATATGCTCTATCTACACTAATGCAGCAGCTCTGATAGTGCGAAGAGCACTGTTGCTGGAGTCAGGTGGACTGACAGCAGATAGATCCTGGCTCTATCCCTCACTCACTGATGGAGCCTGAGTCTCAGGAGTCCTTGTGAGGGCTCCCAAGAGTACCTTGCAGTGCTGTCAGGAAGCTCAAAGGAGGCTCTCCAATGCAAGTAAAAGAGCACTGTGACAATGTAAGACACTATTAGCAAAGCACACACTCAATCACTGCGTGATGAGCTGGGTGAAGATACCTTGTATACCACTCCCAAGTATCTCAGCTTCTCTGATGGTATTGGGTCTGGAGAAGCAGCTATTAGCCCAGAGTGAGGCCAGGAGAGGGCTCAGAGGAAAACTACTTCTTACCAAGGACTTGCCAGGGTACTGAACAGGGAACCTTGAAGAAGCAAAGATTAGGGCTTCTGGCTAAGTAGACCCATCTACTGATGATCAGTGCCAAGTGAAAGGAGCAGAAAGTCCCCCAAGTCAGTGCTAAGTTGGCACTAAGTTGATGCTTTGTGTCCCAGAGATGAATGCCCTGGAGAGGGCTAACCAGCTTGAGAGAACTCCAGAGTTGTTCATTCCCACAAGGATGGCAAAGTGAAAGGAGATGCTGTCCTAAGGAGGCAGCAGCCAAAGGGTTAATCCCAGAGTCATGCACACACCCACCTGTCCCAGGGTCCCCTCCCTCCTCAAACTGCAGCATCTGCTGGGAATCCATATGCTTTCCCTACTGCAGGTAATTAGGTCAGCTTAGAGGATTTCCCAGGTCAGGAGGGTGGGGGAAGGCAACGCAACCGGGGTCTATGTCTCACACCAAGTTCCCAGGTGCCAGCTCCCTTACTGGCAAGATAGGCATTCACCTATTGGGTTAGGCATCAACCAAAAATGAAGGGGCCTGACGTGACAGAGATGGAAGTAGGTGAGGCTACTCCCACACAGCCCCCAACTCGTGCATCCCCTTGATGAGCCCACTACCCAAGGAACAGAGCAAACAAGAGACATTGATAACTGGCCAAGAGTTTTGGCTCTTGCTGAGAGTCTATGAATAGGTCAGGCAAAAAGGCTGGTGGGTGGGGGTGGGGAATGGGCAGCCTAGTGGCAGTCAGTGAACAATTTAGCTATGAGATTATGCTAATGGCTATGTCTAGGTTTGTGAGACAGGCAGGAGGCTTTCTTGGAGCCCTTCCCAAGGAGGAGCAGAAAAGAAGCCAAGCAGAAGCCCCCACAATCAGCTCTCTTGTGGCCTGTCTCTTTCCTCCCCCTCTCTCCCCTATGGATGGGTTCCCCCTTGCCAGGAGAGACCCAGGGGTGTGCCTAGCTGGCCCCGATGGGTAGGAATAGCAGGCAGAAAGGGGTGTTTTGAGAAACCCAGCTAAGAAACTCATTCACACCTTCACCATGGGGACTCCCTTCTCTCTCTCCAAGTGGGACAAGCCAAGAGCATCAGAGTCTTCTCTCAGTTCAGTGCAATATAGGGGGCTGGTATGGGTTTGGCACAATACCAAGAGATAGCAGCTGTGTGAACAGCTGTGTTTAGGACACATGCACATATACCCAACAAAGGTCTCCCCAGATAGGAATAGAACACAAAGCACTGGCTCCAGGTTATAAACCCTATGCTTCAGTTGGCTTCCGCTTAACTACACCTCAAAGTACTACAGGAGCCAGTGACTAAGCCCTAGGTAAGAAGAGATGCAGAAAGAAGGCTCTAGGCTGCAGCTCTGGGAAGCCAGTCAAGTCTAAATGGGGGACATGGGGGACACACATACACACAGAGGAAATAACTAAAGTTGAAGAGGATTAACATACAAAAATATGAGCTAATGTGATTATGGGGAACTAAAAGCAATCCTCAATTATCTGCAGCAAATGTTCAGGTCTGGGACAGCTTATTTCTGAGCCTGAACACATTCTAGGCTAGCCACTTCTAATATGGACTCCAAGTATATTAAAACATTTTTTTCAGCCTTGACTAAATAAAAATTAGGAAGGATAATCTATGTTTTAGAAATGACATCCAGTAGATCATTCCTAAACCAAATGTGGGTTGTAGATTATCTGGGGTTTAGGCTTTCCACAGCATTGCTTCCCATCTGTTAGTGGGGTCATAATAGTATCAAGCCAGGCTGGGAGGAGGTGGCATGGGAACACTGTCTATTGACAAGGCAGTAGATGCTGTGGGCTAGGCAAGGCCCCAGGTGTGTCTTGAATTCAAGTCCATGGGACTTGCCTCCAGACCAGACCGTCAGCCTCTCTTTCAAAGGTCACTGCCCCCGTCCCCAAAACATGTACTTAAAATTCTCATGTCACTGAAGACACACAAGCCAGCTCACCCAGATGAGGCAAGCCCAGGAGGCTGGTGAGAGCTCCATGGTGCCACAGCAGTACCCCCAGAGTCCCAGGACCAGGCCCTGAGCTCACCCATCTATGGACTGAACTTTGCCAAAGAAAACTCAGCTGGTAGGAGAGGATGGAAGGGAATACTGCCCATGTGGCCATGCTCATTTCTGAGCCTCAGGAAGGCTCCAGCCATGAAGGCCCAAACAGAGGCCATTGTCCCAGGCATGGGTCAACCAGCCTCTGCTTAAACACATCCTAAGATGTAGCACTTACTTCTCACAAGGATTCTCACTCCACTTTCTGTTTTGTTTTGTTTTGTTTTTCAGACGGAGTTTCACTCTGTCACCCAGGTTGGAGTGCAGTGGCGCGATCTCAGCTCACTGCCACCTCTGTCTCCCAGGTTCCAGAGATTCTCCTGCCTCAGCTTCTCAAGTAGCTGGGACTACAGGCACATGCCACCACGCTCAGCTAATTTTTTCTATTTTTAGTAGAGATGGGGTTTCGCCATTTTGGCCAGGCTGGTCTTGAACTCCTGACCTCAGATGATCCACCCATCTCAGCCTCCCAAAGTGCTGAGATTACAGGCATGAGCTACCACGCCAAGCCTTACTCCACTTTCTATTTGGGGGCAGCTCTAATGGGATCAGATGATCGCTAATGCTCCTTCCAATTCTAATATCCAGTGATTCCCATGATTAGAAAGTTCTTGGATAAACTAGACAGAAAGCTGCTCTCTGATTTTAGTTCTGCTATGTAGACTCTTAAAGACTGTGTCTAATCCTGTTTCTAACAACAATCCTAGGGCATGGGGGGCACATTACATCCCTCACTCCTAGAAAACTACTATACTCACCTGTTCTTCATGATTTTCAGACCCTGTACCATCTTAGAATTCCAGAGCATCAAAGCCAGAATCCTGGAGATTGTTCTTTCTAATCCTTTCATCTTTTTTATCTTGTGATCACCCCAAGGGAATTTTAGAATATTTGGTTAATGTTGATTATTTTAAGTTTTAAAATATGTAATTTTAGATCAGCTTACTATGAAAATTTTTACAAAGTGTAGTTTTAACACAATATTTAATGTTGATTGTTATATGCATAAAGGCAAATTTCAACTTTTTCCCCATTTAGCAATGGCACATACTGTTCAATTTATTCCAGATTAACTAGATAATAAAAGCATGATTTGACCTGGTGTGGTGGCTCATGACTCTAATTCCAGCGCTTTGGGAGGCTGAGGTGGGCCGATCACTTGAGGTCAGGAGTTTGAGAACAGCCTGGCCAATATGGTGAAACTCCATCTCCACTAAAAACACAAAAATTGGCCAGGCATGGTGGCATGCACCTGTAGTCCCAGCTACTCCAGAGGCTGAGGCATGAGAATCACTTGAACCTGGGAGGTGGAGGTTGCAGTGAGTCAGGATCATGCCACTGCACTGCAGCCTGGGTGACAAAGTGAGACTCCGTCTCAAAAAAAGAAAAAAAAAAAAAAAAGAAAAGCATGATTTGTTAACACATTTTTAGATGTTATATCAGTCTTGGGGGTCAAATTATATTACAATAATTT